>NC_000014.9:78248076-78399591 GCF_000001405.40 Homo sapiens
TAGTCTACTGACAAAGAAAAAGTTGATTACTTGTCTTCTGTCTTCTCCTGTGGACTTGAGTGGGTGCCCAGACCAGAAGCGGTTTGTCTCGATACTTAGCTGTTATGTTTTCAAGTGTTGGAATCCTCTAGTGAAGTGTCGTGGTGGGTGTTGGTGATAGGGACCACAGCCTTATTATAAGCACACCGTTGTGTGGTCCTCAGTAGTGACTAGCCACCGCCCCCCGCCCCCCCCCCCCCCACCCGCCACCTCCTGTTGTCTGAAGCTCAGATCCTACTCAGGTCAGTTTGACTGATGGCTCAACACCACTGTGTGGCCTTCGCATGCCTTCCTGAAAGTGAATTTCAATTTCTTTTTTTTTTTATTGAGAATTTATGACTCTTGCCCCATCTCTCAAAGCCAAGACTAGGATGGAATGGCATATACCAAGAGGAGGCTGCTTATCCCTGAGCATTTACTGAGGTCCAGAGACATCAGATACTGTAGTGAAGGGACCAGTGGTTGCCTCAGTTGGATCCTCCTGTTTTGGGCACTTGTGTAAGAACCCGGTCATTTCCTCTCCCTCTCCACAGTGCACATGCTGCTTGAATTATAACATGGCATTGTTCCCAATCTGTGTCAGCTCTGAATGGCTTTGAGAAGGGGTGGGTGTCCTGCAGGGAAGTGGAGCATAATCAGAGAGTAAAGGATTACTCCTTTCTAAGTCTTCCCTGGTTTGGGAAGGAGAGAACAGAAGCAGGGCCTTAAAATGTACACAAAGGAGGGACTGCTGCTTCTGAGACTTGATTCCCCACCCAGCATTCAGGTTTTCCATGGGACCAGCCTGACTCTCCACCAGCCCAGCCAGCAGGGGCTGTCACTAAACGGAGCCTGAATAGGGGTCTGATTGCTCCTTTTTCCTCCTTTCCTCCTGATTACCAAGTGAGATTTCCTGGGTATACTGTATGCTAAATGGCAGAGCAGCCGCCTGCCACTTGCTTCAATTATCCCTCTTTTAACTGCTGAGGGAAAAGCAATTTTTTAAAATCTCCCCCCTCCCCTAACATCTCTGCCTCCTTTAATGAAATAAGACCCTTCTTCCATGTTCCCCCTTCAATGAGGTGAAAGCAGCCTTCTCCTTTTGCAGAAACCGCCCACCAGCTGCAGGCTGCAAAGAGGGTGGGCAGTGGATAATGCTTTGGTCCAAATTCAGCAAGGCTGAGGGTCAGGCAGACATTTTGCCAGGAGCCTCAGAGTAGCACGTGAACTTGCATTTGCATTTGGTAATGAGATACCACAGGACCGATGCCGGGGGCTAATTATTTTCAAGACCCCTATCTCCATTTGCAGGCTGCTCCAGAAAGATGGTTTCCAGTTTCTGGGGCAGCTGTCCTTCAGCTGGGTCCTCTTTCTCCTTCACAGGGCAGATGAGGTGGGGTGTGTGTTGCAGGCTGCACTTGGGGGATGGGACTACCATGACCCCCTTTACTTGCAGTCACTGGCTCCATAGTATGGGTCCATCACAGTGAGGCCCCAGAGGCAGAGCTAGAGTAAGGGAGGCTTTAGGGCAGGGCTCCAAAGGTCGAGTGCCCTTCCTTACACAAAATAATAATGATATTATTACCATTGCTCTTATTAAATACCACCCTGCGCCTGACATTCTAGGTGCTTTTTATATTCATTGGCTCATCTATTTCTCACAAAACTCCTATGAAGTTAATACCATTAGCTCCATTTTACGGATGAGGAAACCGAGGAACCGAGAAATTGGGAACTTGAACCCCCCGTTTGGCATAGTGGATAAGAGTATGGCTGCTGGAGGGAAAACGATCCGGACTTAAATTTGGGCTTGTCTACTTACATGTTGTATGGCTCTGGAGAAGGTTTTTGAAGCTTCAGTATCTTCTTTAGTAACAATGATAGCTAATAATCACAGAGCACTGGCTCCAGGCTCACACTGTCTTAGGTGCTTTTCATGCACTAGCTCTTGAAACCCTCGCAACCACTCTTGACATGCGATTATGATTCTCATTTTTTTGGATAAGGAAGCTCGGGGCAAGAGGTTAAATAACTTGCCCAAGATTGTGCAGGTATTAAGAGGCAGAGCTGCAATTTGTGTCTAGACAGTCTGGCTTCAGAGCCTACACTGTCAACCACCATGCTATCTTGACTCTCAGTGAAACAGGAATCATAAAAAATCGTACATCATGGAGTTGTTGAAAGGATTTAATGAGATAAAACATGAAGTTATCTGCCTAGACTCCAGGAAAGAGCAAGTTCTGACTCTGGGCTATTGGTTTCCTGGCCTGTGTAAGAACAAACTGCACATCAATTTGGTTTCACAGGAGATTTGATGCTTCCTTTTGAGCGACCCCTACCTCCACCAGTTTCCCTTATCCCAGTCTGAAAGGTGGTAGAGATAAAAGGAGGGGAATTTTGGAAGTGTACAGAATCCAATTTCATTCCATTTGCTCCTGCCCAAGAGCATGGGGCTGCTGACAATGGTTATGACTGCGGGATGGGATTCAGGGCTCTGCCGGCAAACGTGTGGTGTTCTGGCCTCAGCAGCCACCCAGTGAGGCAGGTAGGGCAGGCCTTAGCATCCCACTGAATAGATGAGACCCAGACCCTGAACGTGTCATGGGTGCAAGGGTATGAGGGCAAGTGTGGGTGCTGCCTTTGGGCAGCCATCTCTAGGACCTGAGAGCCCAGGCCCTCAATGTGGCATTTTACCTCTGCTTCTGGGCTCCCTCAATAAACTCAAATGGCCTGTGTCTCTGTCGTGAGATGGAGCATTGCCTCCCTGGATGCGGATGATAAGCAAAATGTCAAGTTCCTGGTGCAGGAGGTTATCAGCTTGGCCTGTCTCAGGGGCTTTGTTCCTTCTAGCCAGAGAGAGAGAGAGAGAGAGAGAGAGGGAGAATAGGAAAGAAAATGAAAATGAATGAATATGAGTATAGTATTCAATTCCCAGCCTCAAAACTCTGGTTTTAGTGAAGTGACTGGGATTGGACCCAAGGCTCCGGAGGTAGTTGGAGCACAGGTGCACCACACCGGAGCTTCGCTGGACAGGATGACCTCTTCAAACTTACCTTTGGTTTCCCAGGTACCAGGCAATGCCCATTACCTCACTCAGGGTTGGTGGTGAGAGTTGGAGCTCCTGGATTCCTCTGTCAAACTCCTCCTAACTTTCCTGCCTTCAGCTTCTCTCTGCATGTAAAAAAAAACAATCTTTCTCTGTTTCTTCTTGTCTATTCCTTTGTGTGTGTGAGAGGGGGAGATGATTACAGAGGTGGATTTACCATGAAACTAAGCCTTTCGTACATTCTCAGTTGCACGGGTCCCTTCTAAGTCTCCACACCTAATTTTGTATTTGCAATTTCTTTTTCTTAAGGACTCCCAAATATCATAAGCAACAGGTCCCACCTCTGTGGATCCGCCTCTGTTAACACAACTTGTTGCTGTCCGTGACAGCAATGTTGCTCTGGGTGTATGTGTGATTTCATTTTTTTCTTCTAACCAGTGACCATTCATCACAGACACATTTTCTACTTCATAACCACCATAGGTGGACGAATCAGAGCTAGGGAGTACAGGAGGGTGCAGGGAATATAGGAATGTCATTTGGGAAGGTGTGGTGGGAAGAGGAGATGTCTAGGATATCCACTGGGAAAAGGGAGGAAATGTTTGGAAATATTTGCAGTAGATTTAGAGGAACAAGGTGGTATTTAGACAGAGGGATCACTCTAGTCATCCTCCTGAGGGTTTTTTCCCTGCTGAAGTTGGGAGGTTTAGTTTGCTGTGGCTCACAAGGTAAGGGGGAGTGGGGGGTTTGCTGGGAACTGTGTTGCAGGTATCAGGCTGTGGCTGGCAGAGGAGGACAAAGTATGGCTCTGCAGGCCTGTCTCCCTGGTCTATTTGGGAACTGACATTGCCAGTGGGTTGTCATTATTGCTGTTGTTCTCCAGAAATTGATGTCTTTGAGTGATCTATTTAAAAACAATACGGGACTCCCTTTAAATGTGTCATCGTCTATATCCGCTCTCAAACCTTGACTGTGGCCACAATGTTCCTAAATAATGTATTTTCCAAAGTTTTTTTCTTTTTTTTTTTTTTAAATCCTGGAACTGGTACCAGTAGCTTTTAAAAGCAAGCTGACCTCATAGTCATCCAGAGAAACTACCCAGTTGCACTCTGTGACAAAACTTACTTTGCATCTAGTCCTAGAAATTGTGAACTCTTTGGCTCTTTGGGGGAAAAACAGTGCACCATCCAAAGGTATGCAAGGGCATAAAGAAGGTAAAGATGAAAGAGAGGGAGGGACAAGAACTGTAGGCAATGTAAAGCTCCTGGCTCAAGTTTTCTGGCTGTGAAATGCATATAGGATCCTTTTGGTTTTACTGAGAGCCTTATTTAAGTACGGTGTCTTTGTAGCTAAGAAAATGACTCTGGGGAGTTTTCCTTTAAGTTTCTCGATGAGATGCTATTCATCCGATCCTCTCCTGACACTTTTGCCTCTGATCTGCTAGCTTGGTTCTCTTGAAGTTGTTCTGTTTGCCCGTGTGAAGTCCTTAGAAGACGGAGTCCCAACAGTCCTGTGGTTGATTGCTGGTAATGTAGGACTGGTGTCTCCACTGTAGCAAGCAGTACATTTCAGGCAATTCTGCAATCTCTCCTCCAGGTATGATTGGAAATGTGTTGCCTGCAGCTCTTGGAGAATAGAAAAAGTACAGTGAGAGTGTGTACAGCTTATTTACTTAATAGGTTGCTTTCAAATAGAAAGGAGTACCCACTTGCGAGGAGGGATACGCTGGAAAGCAAAGCTGAGATCACTTCTTTGTGATCCACATCATGGGGAAAGGGCTGGACAGGCTGGGAGTTTACCACACACTCAGTTTCTTCCTTCCTCCTCATTCTCTCAGGCTTCTTTTCTTTCCAGACGGGGCCCTGTATCTTGCATGGTTAGCCTTGAGAGTTAAGAGAATGGGAAAGAGTGGGCTTGAAGGGCACTGAGCTCTGACCTGTGGAATCCTTGAAAGACAAATCCTCCCACAGTATGTTTGCTCTGTCTGGGCCAGAAAAGACAAGGCTGGAGTTTAGGCAGAGGTGTTGTACAATCACATGATGTGCTTTGACTCACGGCTTAGTTTTAAGGAAACACACTGAAATTTGGGGAGATTCTGGTGTTGCAGGAGAAGTCTGTGAAGGATGAAGTGTGGATCATGTGGCCCTGTTAGAGGATGCTAAGACATTTATTATAATGTATTACTTTCTAGCTGTGACTTTGCCCTAGGTAATGTACTGGAAACCAAGGTACATTATAAAGTATCATGGGAGTCTGGGCGCTGTGGCTCACGCCTGCAATCCCAGTACTTTGGGAGGCTGATGATGGAGGATTGCTTGAGCCCAGGAGTTTGAGGCCTGCCTGGGCAACATAGCGAGACATCATCTGTACAAATAATTAAAAAAATTAGCCAGGCAAAGTGGTGCATGCCTGTGGTGCCAGCTACTTGGGAAGCTGAGGTGGGAGGATCGCTTGAACCCAGGAGATAAAGGCTGCAGTGAGCTGAAATCACACCACTGTACTCTAGCCTGGGCAACAGAGTGAGACCCATCTCAGAAAAAAAAAGAAAAAAACCAATCATGGGATAATAAGTTTAAAGGGGACTTCAAAAGTCATTGGATCTAAGTACTCATTTCTCATCCTCCTCTGCACTATATAAAATGAGCCTCCCCGTGCCCCGCCCCCCCGCCCAAAGAAAACCTGCTAGCCATCTGCAATAATGGGAGCTTGGTGCTTTTCAAGGCAGCCTAATGTATCTCTGGTCAATACTGAGTATCAGGGAGCTCTTCTTTATATCAGCCCCAGCCACTTTCTCATTGGTCCTCATTCTATTTAAAGTAATCTGACCTTTGTAATGGGCCATGTGGGTGAAGAAGATGGGTGGGTTGATTCTAACAGTTCTGAATGATGCTTCGCAGGAATTAACCCTTGTGCCAAGGTAAAATTCTTAAGGGATTCTCTAATATGGTGCTAGCAGTACACATACCACTGAGTTATTTAGAATTAACTGCTTATGATTAATCTTAAACAGTGTGGGAGGGCTTGATGTGGGAAGAGATTTGATGTAAGCAGGTGACTCATACTCCAGTCATTTTGCTTCTGGGGAGCTTGCACTGTGAAAGATTCATGGTTAGCCCTATCTCTGGCTCTTTTGTCAGTGCCTCATTTTATCAACCTGTGATGTCCCATCTTCCCCCATACCCAACTAGGTTTTTAGCGTCTCTGAATTTCCAAGGAGCTTCCTGGAAATCCTGAATTTCTCTGCGACAAAAACATGGGGGCTGGGGACGGTGGCTCATGCCTGTAATCCCAGCACTTTGGGAGGCCGAGGCAGGCAGATCACGAGGTCAGGACATCGAAATCATCCTGGCCAACATGGTGAAACCCCATCTCTACTAAAAATACAAAAATTAGCTGAGTGTGGTGGCAGGCACCTGTAATCCCAGCTACTTGGGAGGCTGAGGCAGGAGAATCATTTGAACCCAGAGGTGGAGGTTGCAGTGAGCCGAGATCACGCCACTGCACTCCAGCCTGGGTGACAGAGTGAGACTCCATCTCCAAAAAAAAAAAAAAAGATTGGAAGTTCTGGAATACATTGGAGAAGATGAAAAGGGGATTGGATTAGACTTGCCTAACAAGCCCATCATGGTAGCCAGAGTCAGACACACCAACAGAAATAAAGATTTCGCTAAAAGGCCTAGTAGTATTTTTTTTCTTTTCTTTTCTTTCTTTTCTTTTTTTTAAAAGATAAGGACATGACATGAAGCAGTATTGAGTAGCTGCTCCTGGAGACAGGCCTTGGAAGCACATTCCCTGTGCGAAAATGCTTCTTACTCTGCCAGGTTGCTCTGGGTATCTCATGTTTTTGGCACTGTTGGGCAGAAGTCTCCCAGGGAAAGGGCTTAGGCAGGGCTGGAAGATCTTGCTCTCACATTGGCATAGACTGGAAGCCTGCCAAGCAAATTCGCTCCTGCACCCTAAAGGGGATGAGGCTAGTCTTGGCCGTCAGCCATCTCCCCATTGACAGTCATTTACCTGACACAGCAGCAGAAAAAAAAAAAAAAAAAAAGGAACCCGTCTCATCATTTTGTGGTTTAAAATAGTTTACTTTTAAGAGCAAAGCCCACAGACATCATTTTGAGTCCAAGCACTGAAATGGAATGAGAGTCACCAACTCGTCTGTGGTTTCATTGTGCAGCCAGGCCTCGGACCACACGCATGTGCTGGGAAGTGGGCGTGACCACCTCACACCATCATGTGGTCATTGCCACGTGGGCAGAGGATGGTTGGGTTTTAGTTGCTGTGGAAACTTTGCTATTTGCTCTTCCTGATGTTGAGTTTTCAGCCTTGTGTTAACACAGATTGGGGCTATTTTTTCCTCGTGTAGAATATATAACCAGTGGCTACATTTTAATGTGTCTCTTGGCTCCCTTTGGCTTTTCTATCCTTAATGCAAGTTGCGATTGCTCAACTGGGTTTCCTGATTCCTGTGGCAGGAGTATGTGAGGAGGTATTCTCTTTAGGAACTGTAAGACGTGAAACCAAGGGTGGAGGACTCTGTTTCCCTTAGTTAATGCACTTACAGGCTTGTTTGCTAAATGTCACGTCTCTGACAAAAAGCAGGTACTCAATAAATGTTTGTTGCCTTAATCACATTGTGTGTATATGCAGGTTTTATATGTGCACATATGTGTCTGTATTCATATATGTGTGTGCCTGTGCTCCCTAATGTGTGGTGGATGGATGCAGGTTCCCAGGAATATGAGCTCAAGTATATCTGTTGAATAAATTAATCAATGAAGTCAGGTCCAATCGGACCACACTGGCCACTGTTGGAAACACCTTCTTTCTTTTAATGGGAAAAGTGTCAGTTTTATTGTGGGACAGTTTTTGTTGAATCTGTGTCAAGCACATACACATTCCGCTTGGTTTGATCTAGTTGAGGATGAACTAGAAATACTTTTTTTTTTGGTTTGTTTACAAACCAATGATTTCCTATAACAATTATAGGCAGTAGCCAGCCTGGGACCATGTCAATGCAGTGGAATGGCTGTTTGAGGCAGGCACGTTGTTGTCACTGGAGATGGAGAGGCCCCACTCGCTCATGTGGATTCCCTGGGGAAGATGGAGCTCACTAGAGACAGGATAATTATCCTCAGATATTGGAAGTGCTGCCATGCAAAGGAGGATGATGATACACTGGCAGGAAAGCCGAAGGAATCCGAGCCACAGAGGAAGAATTCTCTGTTGGTTAGAGGTGTTGGACCACAGAACGCACAACTTTGGCAAGCTCTGTTCCCAAAAGGGGCACAGCAGGTGCCTTCGTGAAGCTATCAGGAGCATGTGCCAGCATGTGCATGCCTTCAATCCAAGGACTCTGTGGTTTTGGGGTCTTGGTAGCCAGGCCCACCCTCATGTTTGATTATGCACATCATGCACCCCCTTTTAGGGGGTGAGAAAGATTATTCTCTAGATCAGTGGCCTCCAAATAGGGCACAGGCCAAGACCATTCTTTGGGGATGCAGGACCTGACTTCATTGATTAATTTGTTCAACAGATGACATTGAGCTCATATTCCTAGGAACCTGCATCCATGCAACACACGTAAGTTAACAATGCATTGATAACTCATATGCAAGTTTTTAAATAAGTAAATATACATCTGTTATGAGAGCGTAGTAAATTTTTCTTTCTCATGGGGAATTTGTTCAGAGAGGGTGGGAGGCCACTGATCAACACTCAAATCTACCTTTATCTCTCTTTAATTAGTTATAGTTACTCCTGACTGCCTGTAGCAATCCCTTATCCCCAGGGCTTGCAGCTTTCAGGATCAGGTGATACCTAAGGCATTCCTGCTGCCAGTGGTGTATGTGTTGGGCTCCTTACTTCTGCCTTCAGTTCTGCCTGTGGTGGTCTTGATTGACCTGCCAGGTGGCTCTGAGGGCTTCATGGGGAGATACTCCAGTTACAGTTCCTTCTTCAGAGGCCTCACTCTGTTCAGGATTACTAACGCTATCATTTTTGGTATGAAAACCATGGTATGAACATTTGTTGGGGCAACTTCGTTTTGTGTAAGAGAGCAAAGTCTCTGAACTATCTCCAAGCTTTTGCAAAGCAATCCTTGAAGTATAATCATCTACTTGTTGGAACAGGCCATCTCTTTATTGGAATAAGTTTATTCACCTGACATTCACTACATGGATATCTGTAATGTACCAGTGTGATCCCTGCCCTTAAGGGGCTTATGGTCTAGTTGGGAAGCTTGTCAGGCAAAGAAGTATATAGCACATATCAGAGTTGCTCTAATAGCAGGTAGAATGTTTGTAAAGCAGCTTAAAAGGGAGCATGTTACCATACCTGGGTGTGGGCGCGTGCCTGTGCACTTGAAGTGAGAGTTAGGGATTGGAGGAAACTTTGCAGAGCAAATTCTTGGGCAGGACATGGAAGCATTAATTGGGAGACTGGGAGGAAAGGACATCAGGGCAGCTCTATGAGAGAGCAGCTTGCTGTTTCCAGCTGTTTGCGGTAGTCAATGTGGTTGGACCAAAGAATTGAGGCCAATGGGATAGTAACGAGAGGATGAGTTAGGGAGGGAATGTCTTAACTGCTTTGTAGGGATTTTGGACATTATTTTTTCCACAACCGGGAACCATTGGAAGTTTTTCAGTTGAATTGTGACACAGTCAGATTTGAATTTTAGAAAGATGACTCTAGGGCCAGTTTGTACAATGGATTGATGATAGGAAGGCTTAAGGAGGGAAGCTAGATAGAAGCTATTGTACGGTTTTGGTGAGAGAGGAGTCTGTATTAAGGGGTGGGTAGTGATGGAAGAAGGGCTGATTGCAGAGATATCAAGGAGAGGAACTTAATAATTAGGTATTAATTTTAGTTTTGGAATCAGATTGCCTGTCACATACTAAACTGCAAATTTGGGCAAATAATCTCACTTCTCTGTGTTTCCATTTTGCCATCTGTGAAATGGGGATTATAATAGTGTGTACCATTTAGGACTATTATGAGGTTTAAATGAGATAGTGCACGTAGAGTGCTCAGGACAATGCTTGGCACATAGTAAACCCTTAGTGAATGTTAGCCATTATTGTAATTGAAAAGAGAAAGACAGAGCTTCAATAATATGCCCTTCTGGTTGTAGGAATGTAGAACAGGAAAGCCATTGTGAGGAGCAGGTTTGGGGTGAAGATGAGAGAGGAGTAAAAATAGATTTTGATTTGGCCGTTATCCTGCCTTCCTTGCAGATCCTATAGGACCCTTGTCGGGAGATGTACAGGGGCAGGTGGGGGCAATGGTTGGCATTGGCGGGGGGAGGATGGGGGCTGCCACAAGTTTCAGGGTGGTTGTTGTGGTGGGAAAGACTTGGATGTGGATGAGGCTGCCTAGGGAAGGAATGTGGTTTAGAGGAAAAGGAGCCTAAATGTAGAAACTTTGGGAACTGTAATATTTAGGATCGTGGGGGAAAGGAATCCATAAGATAGACTATAGCAGATACCCAGACATGTAGAAGGAAACTAGGAGTGAAAGAAAATTCTTTAAAATTCTTCACTGGTGAATAAATGAAAGAGTGTACCTTCTTAACCTTCTTGAAGTTGGGGCTTGCAGTTGAAAATTACAATAAAATGATGAAGAATTGCATTGTTTAGTTTCAAAAACTATTCATGTTGGTTTTTCTTCTACCTTCAATGTAGTGAGGTCTGTTCATTTAAGAACATTCCTGGCCGGGCGCGGTGGCTCACACCTGTAATCCCAGCACTTTGGGAGGCTGAGGTGGGCAAATCACAAGGTCAGGAGTTTGAGACCAGCCTGGCCAACATAGTGAAACACCGTTTCTACTAAAAACACAAAAAATTAGCTGGGCGTGGTGGCGGGTGCCTGTAATCCCAGCTACTTGGGAGGCTGAGGCAGGAGAATCACTTGAACCTGGGAGGTGGAGGTTGCAGTGAGCCAAGATCGTGCTACTGCACTCCAGCCTGGGCGACAGTGCGAGACTCCATCTCAAAAAAAAAAAAAAAGAAAGAAAAAAAGAAACAATCCTACAAGTAGAAACTTAAGTCTCATATGCGGTGATGACGAACCTGAGGGTTTTGAATGTTTTTGCACATGACAGAGTTTCTGGCTCTTAGAACATCAGGTCCCATAAGAGCAAGAACTCAAAGATCTGAAAGAAACAAACGCAGAGAAATGAAGTGACTTACCCAAGATCAGCAAACTGGTATTCTAATTTGAACCTTGCACTTTTTTGAGACCACGTGAGTTAAACATGATTAAACATGAAATGCTTTGGCTAAGTTTTTCTGAGGGTCTGGCGTAGAACTCTTGGGGGTGCCAGTGCTAAAGCTCCCCTCAAAGCCATATACCTCTAGGGATCGAGGGAAGAAATTCTCCTACCTCTGGTCTCTGTGGGCTGAAAGAGTGAGATGCCCACACAAGAGATGCTGGAAGCCCTGGCTCAGCTAGCAATATAAGTGCTGGTAATTAATTCACTTGTGGTTTCTTTATCTCTGCCCAGAGGTGGGATGCTTGGAAAGACAGCAAAATAATTTAAGGAAATTGAGGCTCAGCTCTGGTTGCCTGCTTGCTGCCCTTCCTTCTGCCTTCAACTCTCTAGGACTGGGGGTGGGGGCTGTGTCTGTGCTCTGAATGCTTGCTGTGCATCAGTTTTCCAGGAATTTCAGGACACAGGAATTATCACCCAGCTGTGTTGTGTGTTGCTGTTCAGCAATCTGAAGTTGCTTATCTAGCGTAAGTCAGAACGGGGAGCCTAGGGAGGAGGGGCAACGCCTTCATTTTTCTAAGCAGAAGAGACTGAGGTGTTAGGGGCCCAGCTGGTATGCGATGGGAACCAAGAAATGGAGCCTATGTGGACATGCATGCTTTACACAAATTCTCTCGCTGAAACTCGGGAATGTTATCAGAAAGCTATCTCTTTCCACCTCATCCAACAACAATGCACACTATTTGAGGTTCACTGTGTGTCAGGAGAAGCACTGGTGGTAAGACTGGTGAGCAAGACAGGCACATCCTGCAGCTTAATTAACCAAGCAATTATAGAGTGGTGTATGCATTAAAGGAGACATATGTGTAACAGTGGTCTCTATGGGTTTATTGGTCTCTCTTCACATATGGCAGAGAAAAGACCCTGTGAAGTTCAGGAGTGTGATTAAGGTACTCCAAGAAGTCACACACAGGAGGTCCAGGGCTTTTACTGGACTCACTGTTCTTGGACTGGCTCTCCTAGCCTGGGTCTGTTGGCTGAGGACCACAAATGAAGCCAGCAGACTTAGGACTTACGCTTCTAAGTTTAGTGCCCAGCTCTAATCATGCTCCTGAGTAGGCCTTGATGATGCATTTTAATTTCATCCAAGTTGAAATGGTTTGGCTCTGTGTCCCCAGCCAAATCTCATTGTAGCTCCCATAATTCCCACATGTTGTGGAAGGGAGCCGGTGGGAGATAATTGAATCATGGGGGCAGGTCTTTCCCATGCTATTGTCATGATAGTGAATAAGTCCCCCAAGATCTGATGGTTTTAAAAACGGGAGTTTCCCTGCAAATGATCTCTTCTCTTGTCTGCTGCCATGTGAGATGTGCCTTTCACCTTCCACCATGATTATGAGGCCTCCCCAGCCATGTGGAACTGTAAGTCCAATAAACTTCTTTCTTTTGTAAATTGCCCATTCTCGGGTATGTCTTTATCAGCAGCTTAAGAGTAGACTAATACACAAGTCTTATGATTTATTCCTTCTTATTTTGATTGGGTAAATTTAATAATAATGACAGTTAACTAATTCTCATGAAGCACTTACTATGTGCTGGGGACTGGCCTAAGTATGTTCATGTGTGACTTCTTTCATTCTCCCAATCGCTTCCACCCAGGAAGGAGGTGGTGGTTGTCCTGGCTTTACAGATGAGGAAACTGTAGCTGAAGAGAGAAAGCATCTGTCTAAGGAAAGAGCCCAGGCAGTGGATGTGGAATTTGAGCTCTTTACTCATCTCTCTCTCTCACCCCCTATTCAATCTGGCATTGAATGGGGGCGGGGGGGCTCCTGTGGATATCAGTGACTGAACCTTGTCCTCGGCTGGCCCAGCTGGGGGGTCTCTAGCATGCAAAGACACTGCCAGTATTCATTGACCTGTCTTTTGACCTTCTCCCTCTCCTGCACATAACTGATTTTGCTCTGCTCTGATCCTGATTCAGACACATGTTCTTCAAAGAGAAACATACAAGCTGCCCTGGACTGCTTTTTATTCTGTTGTCTTATTCCATCTCATTGGCCATCATTGAGATGGATCTAGAACGATGCTTGGGCTGGAATCGCATATTCTCTCCATCTTTTAAAATCTATGACCTCCAGGTAATCTTTGTTACTGTTTTTGTTAGTCTGTTGTCCACCACTATCCAAAAGGCTTTTTGTCAAGATTTAGTGAAAATCTTTTACTTGTATTAAATTGTAAAGTGAATATTATTTCAATTACATTGTAAAGTGAATATTATTTCAATTTATATATTTCCCCAACTCATGCATTTTATTGCTTTACCCCTTCCCCCTCTTAAGCATCACAATCCAACCTCCTTTTATGAAACTGACTTAGGGAGGCAAGGTGACTTACAATGGGCCACTCAGGTAGCAAGTGGCTTGGGACTGGGACTAGAACTCAAATATCCTAACTCCCAGCCTAGCACTCATTCTCCTACATCACTCTGAAAAAAGATTTTGGCTAAGGAGAATTGATTGATTCAAAAGAACATCAATTGCCAAGCACAATCAGGGGTGATCAAAACAGTTATGGCGCCTGTCTGCAATGAACTTACAAATGAGTGGATTTTTTTTATGGAAAACATAAACCAATAAGTGTGTAATTACTTGTGATGAGTGCTGTAGATGGAAAGAACAGAGTGAGGGGAAATCTAATGAAAACCAGGGTAGTCAGGGAGGTGTTTCTGAGGAGGTGACATCCAAAGATGAGAAGGAGCAGGGGAGAAAGCCAGGCAGCGGGGCTGTATGTGTTCATTGTCATTTGCTTGGCTGAAGAACAAGATTGGTTAGTTTGATATCGTTGGCCAGAACTATGTCTTTCACTTTTATGTATTTGCTTGGAGTATGGTTGATGGGTAGTGATGGATGGATGGATAGACGGATGGGTGGAGGACTGACTGGGGTTGGGGAAAGAGAGAAGCCATCAGTGTGATAGGATGAGGGCAGCTCACCTTGGCTGGTAAGTGGACACACACATGGCCCTCTCCTTCCAGAATGCAGAATCTTGGAGGTAAGGATTCAGGGGTAGAATGTCTATGTAAAGGAAGCTCTGTTGTGGGAGAAGGGTAAAAATGAAGGGCTGCTGGGACTAGAAAGCAATAATGTAATTTGCCACCAGCCTTGAGAAACTTATTGCTCGAATAGCTGCACCGTGTGGCTCCCACCCATAGTGCCATAGATCAGCCTGAAAATTCCCAAATAGCTTCTCCTCCTCCTTAATGTCTCAGTCCTGCCCTCCCAGGTCCTCCCACCTGCCACAGTTTGTTTTCTCGGTACATGAAGAGAAAGGGGTTGTTGTCTTGATAGATCTCTGCTCTTCAGCTGTTGTTGCCAGGGACATTTATGTTCCAGAACATCTAAAAGGTTCTCAACTTAGAGGAGTAGTGGAAAATCTGAGGCTGGGGAGTCAGCCTGATTCTTGATGGGCCATTCTTCCTTGATTTTAGGCTAGCATCTATTGACCTCTTACTACGTTTCGGGCACTGTGAATAGCTTCACCTTTTATTCCCATTTTACAGATGAGGAGACGGAAGCACAGAGACTTCCCGATCTACCCTCCACCCAGTAGTACAAAGATACACAAGGCGCTAGAGTGAAGTTTTTCCATCCTGCATGAAAACAATAAAAATAAACAATGTAGTACATTTTTGGTGAAGTCACTTTTTTTTTAGTTTATGGGATATGCCCTTTTATTTTGGGGATGTGAAAAGACCTTTTCTTTTTAAGAGAATATGATGATATAAAGTGTCAGTTTTTAGTTTTTGTTCTTTCTTGGTAGTAGAGAAATACAGTTAGCCAATGTTAGTTTCCAAAATTGCTTTAGATATATTAGAGGTAAATAAACTCTGTTAATCTGAAGATGACTGTTGCAGATGTTAGCTTCGTTTCCTTTAGGAGTAAAGTATTTGTATGATTTTATCCACTTTTTATTCTGATCATTTATCAGAAAAAATTGCAAATAGTAGCTCTGAGACCATATAATTTATTTTTATTCAGCATTAATCAAGATACTTTGATTGTACAGTTTTGACCCTGAGGCCCTTTACCTCTATGTTGGCATAATCGGAATTAGACAAAGACTGCAGCATTTTTATCAATGGAGTATTTTTCAGAAGCAAACAGTACGGGGGTCATATAATTCCTCGATTCATTTTTTCTTCAGCACAGTTAAACCATTCCTTATTTTTTCAATTCAGTTTTATCTTACTGAATTATTTTTAACAAGATCAATTCTGCTCCATATGTATTCTATAGTGAAGATTTGATTCATCAATCAGTTATTTTTCGTGTGCCTATCAAATTTTACCGACACGGCTTCTACTATTGTGAATGTTCTTTTGTGGCCATTATTTCTGCCACATCCAATTTTCTCACATCAGATTTGCAGGTCTAAATTTTGTCAAGAATGTTTGATCCTTCCTTCAATTTTTTAGTTAATAACAAATTTCACCATGCGCATTTTTAGCTGCTGTCAGTTCTATTTTGTGTGTGTGTGTGTGTGTGTGTGTGTGTGTGTGTGTGTGTGTGTGTGTGTGTTTTCCTGACAGGTCTAATTTTTTTCCGGGTCAGTTTTTGCAGTTTGAAAAACCAAATCTTCTTCCTACAACTAACGTCAGTCCCTTTCCTAATAGTTTCTCAGGAATGTGTCCAAAACATATTCATGAAGTCAAAACGTCAGGACCAAAATAGCCTGTGTTGTTTATAGAGACCAGCCACTCAGAAGGATTAAGAAACTTACCCGAGGTCATACATAAAGTGGGCAGCAGATATCTGTTGGGTCACTATAGAATCTACAGCCCCTCTTGTTCAGTGAGGGGCAGAGTAAGGATGTAAAATTGGGATGAGCTTGACGTTGTGCCTTCCTCCTTCTAGCTTCTGCTTCCCAACCCCTCTGCTGAGCTAACAGAATTTCCACTGACCCAGCCTCCCCAAGAAATGGCAGCTGGGGCCACAGTTCCAAGCCTCTTGACTTCTCCATGCTTCCTAGCTAGGTCCGCCTTAAGCTGTATGTGCAGTGGGGTGGCATGATTTACAAATAAGCAGGACCAAAAAGGAAAAATCCTCTCTTGTGGAAAATTAGGTCAGTGGCAGAGTTGGGGAGGGGAGGGAATCTGGGCCCTGTTCTTCTATCCTTTGGTTCATTCCCCTTTCCTGAAGCCAGCAGGGCAGAAACTGATGGTGCTGTTGGGAGCAGACATCTGGGGGTGAGGGGGTGGGGAGCAGTGCCCGTTCACGTGTTCTTGTGTGGATATGTGTGAGCATGAAAGTGGTCTGTTTTGCAGCCACTTGGGACTCCCCTCTCTCTGAATGTATTTGTCTGGATTACTCTAAGGGGGATATTAGTGTTGTCTAATAACGGCCTTAGATTTATCAGGGGATTTGTTTGATTAATTCCAAAGCAAAGTACAGCAGATAGATTAGAGCTCAGCCAGTGTAGTGGGTCTATACCACCCATCTCTGCCCTTTCTAATTCCTGTTGCGGGGGCTTCCCTCTCTCGTCTTTGTTGTCTTGATGGTTGAAGGCTCTAGTGTTTAAGACCCCACTGTGTGATAGTTAAAACCATTTCCCACTGCTAAAATGCATGAGTGAGTGTCTGGGCTTAGAGATAAATCTCCAAGTTCACACTGTTGTTTCTCTACAAAAGCTGCAGAAATTTGGCTACTTGCTTTTCTTTCCCAGTTGCCACTGCCGTACTCTTTTTCTGAATACTAAAAATGTTTTATTGCATTTATAAACACAAGCTTTTGGTGATAGGTTGGCACTGAGTCTTTTCTTTATTGGGAAGTTGTAGGTCAGGGGCAGGAGTAGAGAATCCTGTATGTTTGCTTTACAATTTTTTTTCAAGGTGCACCTGTTTAAAAGTGTGTAGAGAGGAATGAACTAGGGGAGGTTAGAAGTAGGTTAGACTTAATAGGTTTTTGTTAAGTTACCCAAAACCAGTGGTGGTAGGTGGCATCCTGGTGCCTGCTAGAGTTGTGGAGAGGGGAGAGGACACTGATGAGGTGACGAGACAGATGATATATTAAGAGTTAGCAATAAAACACATTTGTATGGCATTTTATATTTTTAAAGCATTTTTATATACATTATCTCATTTGAGTATCAGCCCCCTAAAATATATTCTTCTATTTAATATAAAAGAAATACTGGCACAAAGAGTTCAAGGTCATTCAATGAACTAGTGACTTTTAGAACTGAAACCACCTCTAAATCCAGTGCTTGCTCTCACCATACTCTTAATGTTGGATTCTTCTCCCAGACTCCCAGTCCAGGGTACCAGTACCCCAGCAGAGGCACAGTGGGAAAAGCAATGACCTGGGATGCAGATGACCTCAATTCTGATTTCAGCTCCAAAATTGTCCAGCTGAGTGTACGTGTTAATTCCTCTCTCTTGGATCTGTGTTTCCTCTTCTGTGCCTAAAAGTGTCCTGGACAACTCTACAGCACTGATCACAATGATAATTAATTAGTTGCTTGTCTGATTATTTGTGGCCCATCTTCCTGGCTAGACTCTAAGTTCCAAGAGTGCAAGACCTGTGTCTGTCTTGTTCATCTGCCATCACCCCAGTGCCTAGCACCATCCCTGGGACATAGATAATGTGAAAAGAATATATGTCAATGAAATGAACCTGTACAATGAAAGGAATGGACCTTACTTGAAGTCCTAAGACTCTTCCACTTTTCAAATTCTCTGCTTTTTCTCTGTTATCTCTGAAACAATCTGAGAAACACCTCCTTTTTTTGTTTTTACTGTTTTTAAACTGTCTTTAGAGTACAACAGAAATTATAAGATAAAAATAGTGATTAATAATAATTCTAATTATAATTCACAAACATATTATTAATATGTGAATGTGAAATCAAAATGCTTTTTAGGGACTCTCTCTCCTCTTACTTAATCTGTGTTTCTTTCTTTCTTTTTTTTTGAGATGGAGTCTCACTCTGTCGCCAGGCTGGAGTGCAGTGGTGTGATCTCACCTCACTGCAACCTCTGACTCCCTGGTTCAAGCAATTCTTCCACCTCAGCTTCCTGAGTAGCTGAGATTACAGGCACATACCACCACGCCCAGCTAATTTTTGTATTTTTAGTAGAGACAGGGTTTCACCTTGTTGGCCAGGATGGTCTTGATCTCCTGACCTCATGATCCGCCCACCTTGGCCTCCCAAAGTACTGGGATTACAAGCATGAGCCACCAAGCCCAGCCTAATCTCTGTGTTTCTTGGAAGCAGAACGTCTCCTTATCTGGGTTTCTGAGCTCCCTCTGGAAGGGCCTCTGCAGACTCCTGTTGAGCCTTCAGAATGGGACTGGTACTCATTAGTAGGCAATATGCATGGGCCTCAGACTCAAAAAAAGATTCTTTTAGGTCCAGAGCTTTACAACACCTCCTTACTTTACAAAGAAGAAGAAATCAACCTTGCTTATTTTTTTTTAATGGGAGAAATGGAGGGGTACAAAGGAAAGCTGAAAAGCTGCCAAGGGGCTTAGAAGTAAGAGAGTCTTCTAATAGGGCTACTGACTTTCTTCTGGGGTTCCCCAGGTCACTAGAAACTCATTCTGTCAGGGCAAGGATCCATTGGGAGGCATTCAGTTGAATGCTGTCTTGAGCCACTATGTTACCCCTTCCTTCTCAAGTTCATTGCAAACCGTGCTAATCAACCATAAAGTTCTTTCTATCCCAGGCCCATGTCTAGCTTCAAACTCTTTCTTAACACAGTATTCCAGGTTGTCAACAATCAAAGAACAGGGAATTAGTATGTGCTGAGCATGGTGTCAGGCAGGTCATTAAGCATTTTATATACAATTGATTCTTTTGATAAGCTTGACAACTCTGGAATTGATACAATGACTCCCAATTTATAGATGAAGTTTAAGGGACTTATCTAAGGTCACATAATGAATAGCAATATTGGCATTTGAGCTCAAAACTTTCTACATACCTCTCAGTGAGCCCAGCCCTCAGGGGTGTCCATCTGCCCATGGGCCCATATGGTGAAATGTCTTTACAAAAAATTCCTCAGCTAGGTACAGTGTCTCACATCTGTAATGCCAGCACTTTGGGAAGCTGATGTGGGAGGATTGCTTGAGGCCAGGAATTTAAGAACAGCCTGGGCAACAAAGTGAGACCCCTCTCTGTACCAAAAGATAAAAAAAAATGTTAGCCAGGCATGGTGGCCATGTGCCTTTAGTCCCAGTTACTTAGGTTGAGCTGGGAGGTCCACTTGATCATGCAGCTGTACTCTAGCTTGAGTGACAACAAGACACTGTCTCTTAAAAAAAATAAAAGATTTCTCTCCACTCAGTTGTTGCTGTCCATCCTGTGGGGGCACTTTGAGATTTCTCCAATCAAAGACTTTGAAGCGTTCTCTGTCAACTCTAAATCCCCCATTAGTGCTAAGTATGATAATAGAAGACCATGTAGGACCACACTATCATGTTTACATCGTCTCTTGGTTCATAAGATTGGTGACTAACAGCAATGCAGAGCCGTCTTTTTGAGTCTCCAGTGCCTAAGTCAGTGTCTGGCATGTAGCACCTGGTCAATAAATGTTAGCTATTTTGAATAGAACCAGACACAAAGGCTCATGATGAGAACAAAAAAAGGGTGAGGATAAAGGCTTGTGGTAAATTGTAAACCTCCCCAGCTTTTCTGAGAATCCCAAAGCCAGCCCTTCTCAAACTGTGTTCTGTGAGATGTTACTAGATGTTTAATGAGGGGATTGAGGGGGAATTTTCAGTGATCTAAAAACATATATCCCCTATGGACTATATCTCCTTTTGGACTCCACAGTGTATCTTAGTATGGATGAAATCTTCTGAAGACTTGGGATATTAAAAAACAAACTTGGTGTGCTCTAAATTTACTGGACCACCGTTTTGTTTTGTTTTGTTTTGTTTTGTTTTCAAAGAACAACTGTTCACATCTTGCTGGATGTTGTGATGTTGTATTTTTATGGAATTTAGTTTTGGATATGCTACCCCAGCTTTTAATCCTTTCTCTGAAATATGGCTCCTGAGATCCCACGCAGCATTGGACGTTGTACATACAACAATGCACATTATACTCTAAAATACTTAATGACCATCAGTTCCTTCCATACTTTCCAGTGGTCTCAGCGAGCACACACTGATTTCTTGAAATTTGTCCTGGTGTCCCAGAGGATGATAGATTTGGGTGGTGAGACCAGTAAGGGAAGAAATATTTGTGGATGGAAGTATGGTACTGTGGGAAGGAAAACGAGTTTGGAGTCAGAGAAATCGGAGTTCACATCCTGGCTATTATTTATGAGATGCCTGAACTTGGGGGATATTAACTTCCCTGAGCCTTAGTTTCCTTGTCTGTTAAGTGGGGTAACAACAGTATCTACATCAGTAGGATTAAATGAGGTTATTTACATACACTATAGTTGCAGGGGCCTGGTATACAGGAAGCACTCAGTAAATGGCAGGGATTATAATAGATAATAATCCCTGCCACGCTGTCTTCTGGGTCATGTTTTTCACATTTCTTTTATGATGTTATTGTGAATAGGGATCCCACTAAAACCTTTTTTTGACACTAAGATCTAGCATATTGGCTAACAAGGAATTGCCCCTCGTTAGTATTTCTGGAGTGAATAAACGAATGATATAGCACTCTGTTGTTTACAAAGCACTTACATATTTGTGGCCTCATTCAAACCTCACAGCAACCTGGTCATGTACTTACTGTCATTATTCCCAGTAGTTGGGGATATGGAAAATGAAGCTCACAGAGGCTCAGTTGGCAAAAGTCACACAGCTAGTAGGAAGCTGGAAAGTCAGGCCTCAAAGCCAGGGCTTCTGTAACTAAAATGTGGACTGTATACACAATGGAATATTATTCAGCCTTAAAAAGGAAGAAAATTCTGACACATGCTACAACATGAATGAACCATGAGGACATTATGCTAAGTGGAATAAGCCAGTCATAAAAAGACAAACACTGTGTGATTCCACTTATATGGGGTACCTAGAATGGTCAAGTTCATAGACATTGAAAGTACATTGGTAGTTTTCAGGGGCCAGTGGGAGGGGGTAAAGGGAATTAGTTTTAATAGGTAAAGAGTTTCAATTTTGCAAGATGGAAAGTGTGGAAGTGGACAACGGTGGTGGTTGTACAACATTACGAATGTACTTAATACTACTGAACTGTACACTTAAAGATGGTTATGATGGTACATTTCATGTTATGTGTATTTTATCACAATTCAAGAAAACTGGGAAAACAAAACTAGCACCAGGGCTTCTGACTCCAAACTGAGGTTTCTTTCCCACACCCCGTATCACCATCCCCTACAGAGCAGCTATAGTATGCCTCCTCTTCTAAGACACTTTATTTTGTATTGAATTGAAAAGTTTGCAGAACTCACCTCCACTGAAACCCTAGAAGACCCACCTGCTTCTCCTAGAACATTCATCCTGTTGGCCTAAACTCTGGGAAGTCGGAGTCTTTCCAGAGAGTAGGGAATTCTTTGAAAGAGGGCAGATCCTCTGTCTCAAGGAAATCACTGGGGTCAAGTAATGCAATAATTGTGATTGCCAGCCTCAATGACTACTTCTTTTGTGCCAGACACCTTGCTAAGTGCTTTTGCGTATGTTAGTTCTTTATAATGCTTACATCAGTCCTACCAGGCAAGTAGACTGTCCCCATTTTACAGATGGGGAGGTTAGGGCTCGAAGAGATTGGCTAACATGCCTGAGCTCATGTGTGCAAGAGCCAGGATTGTCATCCAAGTCTACCTGACTCTAGAACCTGCCTCTTAACCTCTATCCTATCTATGGTGGGGGCAGAGAAATTGGAGATGTCTGTGTCTAGAGTGTTTTCCAACATAGGAATTGACAGATTTCTCTCTCCTCCTGTGACACACTTTTCTCTCTCCTACCAGATGATGGGACATCTCATTTAGGCCAGTTTCTGTTTTGATTTCCTGGTGTCCTCTGAGATGCAGATGTGTATTCCTTTCCCTGGTGGGTCGTGCTGCAGTGTGAGAAGGACAGCTTCCATTTCTTTCCCTAGGAAGTTGATATATGCATCCTGTTTCCTGGCAGTGCCCATCTGCTATGAGGACTTTCCCAAGGCCCTCACCCTGCCGTGTGGGAGACTACTGCAGGTGCCAACCTCATGGCCTAAAGCTGGGAAATATTATTTGGCTGGAAATGCCTTTTGTTTGCAAGGCTTAAACAGGTCAATAGAAGCTCAACTTGTCATTTTCAGTTTACAAGAGATGTGTCAACAAGCCAGCAGAAACAGTAATAATTTCAATAAGTTTCCTGAATGTTTACTATGTGCCTGGCATTGTGCTGAACAACTTTATATGGATTATTTCACTTAATCCTCACAATAGTCATATAAATTAGGGACAATCAGTTCTGTTACAACACTTGTTTTGAAAATGCAAATTTGTTCTAATGCAATTGATGTATTAGGGAACATTTTGAGCATAATAATTTCGCTTTTGATTATGCAGGATTTTGTCCATAAGAAACACTAGGTGAAGGCAGAAAACTGCAGCCAGCAGAAGCAAGCTGTGTAGGAACACTCAAAGTGCACACATCTCAAACTTGTACCAGCAACTTCAGCTACCGTGTGTGTTATGAGTCCCACCCCACAAATGATGTTTCAACTTTGTGTCCAATTCCAGGAGATCCTCCTCCTACACTTTACAATGATTCATAAGCTTCCCATTTTCACAGACAAACTTCAGGTCTGTTAAAAGTGCCATATTTATTGTAGTACTTACGTACTTCTTAGTGATTTAACATGTATAGAACTGCTTCCTCTATTACGTGTCACTGATGAAGTTTATAGGTGTTGCATCCCAACTTCATCTTTCCGGTTAAGCTCTGTGATTTTTACTGTATGATTTTGCACAGCAAAATGACTTTTAGGATTGCATACATGCTTCTGGCAGAACTGGCTTTACTACCATTATTCCTGTGTGGCAGAAGAGGACCATGAACCTAAGAAATTTGCCAAAAATATTTTAAATGACAAGTGGCAAAGCTGGGATTCAAACCCAGGCTACCTTACTCCCATGCCTGTTCTCAAAACTTCTAAAGCATTTAAAAAAAAAAAAAAACAAAAGGGCTGTCTGCACTGATCTCTGATTATATCTGTAACAACCAGATTGCCTCTTCTCGCAACTGTCAAACCCTGTTTCCTCAAGCCAGAGCCACTGCAAGTATGTGAGAGCCCCTGAAGGTGTTTGAGTACAGCAGTGACCTGGCCCACAGAAATGCCTGCCTTGGTCCTTCCTCTTCCCCTCCTGGCCGCTGCCTGCCCAGGCTGACTGGTGCCTGATATAGCTGCTACTGATGCTCCATCTTGCAATCTGGAGTTATTAGCATCAAAGAACAAAAGCAAACAGCACCAGGGCTCTGGGGCTCAGTCCTCTATGAAGGTAGATGAATGGACCCTTATGTCGGGGATAAAGCTAACACCACCCGGCCTTTTATGGAGACAACTCTTCCTGTGTTTGAAGAGCTCAGACACTGAGAGCCAGAAAGAGCCCTAGAACGAAGGAAACAACCTCCTCACTGCTGGAAGTTTGCTTTAGTTCTTAACTGAAAAAATTGTTTCTGTGTTTGTTCTTGAAGAAGAAGGGAAAACCTTATGCTCATCTTTCCTGGGGGCAGGAGTCAATAGGCCACTGGGGAGGTGCAGTCTTTGCCTTTTTTTTTGTTTTTTCTTCTAATGTTATGGCTCAGTGTAATCTTTAGTGGAAGGCCTGCCCTGCTATTTGAGGGCCTGAGGCAAGACTATACATGGAGGCCAGTGGCCAGCCTCCCTTCTCTCTTTGCTAGCACCAGGAAGGCCCTCATGCACGTTTATGTGACGCCCCAGCCTGTAGAAGCCCACAACTCCTGCAGACAGCTTCTTCTTGGCCACTTTTTGACACTAGAGTGCACATACCAGTAGGTTGGTCTGCTTTGAGAGAATGGACCCTGGGAAGAGGCCCATCTAGATTTGGAGCAATTGGGCGAGGAATTCTGGGTACCAGAGCATATTCTATAAGGGTGGGGCAAGTATTGCTGGCTCTAGGTGGAAACATCTATTTGATCTGTGGACTCTTCAGTTCCTGGGCTGGGATGTGGCTGCAGAAGGAACAGAATGGGCCCCTCTAAAACATATAGCCCAGGGCAGGGGCTCCAGTTGCTCAGGCCTACGGCATTACTGCATTTTACCCCTTTCCTCTGTCCCTTGAAATACCTTTTTCTTACTTCTGTGAGATGCCCAATATTCTCATACCTAATTTGTAGCTCCATGGGTTAGATGGTTTCTGTCCTGGTTTGCTCTTACATTCAAAAATATAGTTTGACCCTTACCTGATGTGCTGCTGAGTCTGAGAGGTATAATCATAGTGCAACCTCTCTAGGTCTTAGTTTCCTTATCTGTAAAATAGGATGAATACCGTTTCTACCTGTTAGGGTTTTAATGAAGATTAAATAAGATGATGCATATGACCTAGGGGAGGATGCCAACTCCCTTAAATCAATCTTATCTGGCTGTAAACTGTCTTTTCTTCGGCAATTTACCCCCACTTTTTGTCTATTAAAAAAATCAATATACACATATGTATACACGCATATTTGCATAGATATTTCCTCAGGCCAGTCCTGGGGCCCAGTGCTGCTTCCCCATACACAGACCCCATCCTGTATAACAGCACACAGAGAATGCTTAATAAATATGAGCTTTATTAGGATTAATATTGCTTTTATCCCATTTTGTCCTCACGTTCACCCTCTGATGGGCTGATACTGCCAGAATGGTAATTGACAGAAAGGGGAATCCACAGCTGGATGTCCAGGATTCAGGTTCTGGCTCCACAGGCTGTGTGACTTTTGGCCAGTTACCTAAGCTTTCTGTGCCTCAGTTTCCTTATCTGTAAAATGAGTGTGGTAATAGTTCCTACCTCATCGGGTTGTTGTGAGGCACTTAGAACAGTGCCTAGCACATAGACAGCCCTCAGTCAATGTCAGCTGGTGATTTTATTACCTTCATATATGAGAGGATAAGAGTATTATAAAAATCAACCCCAAACCTTTCCTCTTGTCACACAGAAGGAAGGCAGACAGACACAGAAGGGACGCAGCTGCAGGTGTTTCTGACTCCTTGCCTTGCTGCCTCCCCATTTCTGAGGGTCTCATCTATACAGCTCCCTCTGCCTGTGGATGCTCCTGTTAGACCAGCTGGGGTCTGTGTATGGAGGAGCAGCCTAGAGCCCCAGGACTGGCCAGAGGAAATACATAGGTAAATATGTGTGTATACATATGTGTGTATCAACTTTTAATAGACAAAAAGTGGGGGCAGATTGCAGAAGAAAAGGCAGTTGACAAACCAGGTAAGATTGATCTAGGGGTGGTGGCATTTTCCCCTGTGCCAGCACACTTCTTCAGCTACCTCCTGCTGTTTTATTTTCTCATACTGATGGGCCTGTAGTTTTCCAGAGCGCCACTGCATTTAAATCTGTATTCTATTTTCTCTCCTAGAAAATAGGTCAGACTCAAGGCAGAGTTCACCAGGTGGGGTCCCAGAAGGTTTGACTGGGACTCGCCTACAGGAGGCTGGCTGTGCAGCCTGTCCCATGCTCCCCAGAGCTCTTCCAGAGGCATGGGGGAGTTGAAGTAGCAAGTCAGGAGAATCTTGGACTCATACCTGTCCGTCCAAATGATCTAGTACAAATGAAGAGTGAGGTGGGAGGACTACCCCGGCTGAGCTAGCTTCTGCAAGTGCAATAGTGGTGAATGATGGGCCCTTTCTTTTCCTCCCAATGGTTATGTATTAGTCTGTTCTCATGCTTCTGTGAAGGAATGCCTGAGACTGGGTAATTTATAAAGAAAAGAGGTTTGATTGACTCTCAGTTCTGCAGGGCTGGGGAGGCCTTAGGAAACTTACAATCATGGCAGAAGGGGAAGCAAACATGTCCTTCACATGGTGGCAGGAAGGAGAAGTGCTGAGCAAAAGGGGGAAAAGCCCCTTATAAAACCATCAGATCTTGTGAGAACTTATTCACTACCACAAGAACAGCATGAGTGTAACTGCCCCCATGATTAAATTATCTCCCACTGGGTCCCTCCCATGACTTGTGGGGATTACGGGAACTACAATTCAAGATGAGATTTGGATGGGGACACAGCAAAACCGTATCAGGTTAGAAGAACCAGGTTCCCCAAACTGCAGAAAATTGTTTCCCTTGGACTTGAGGATGACCATGCTGAGCATATGCACTTGTGGCTGAAGTTATTGTTGAATATGCAGTAAGTGTCCATGGGATTCAGAGTGGAGGCAGGAATACCCTAATTTCCTTCTTGCCTGGTTGTGATGCTGAAGAGAGTGGGTGAAAGACGGAAGTGGGTTTCCAATTCTTTCTTTCCTGTTTTGTTCCTACTGTTTAGAGCATGGAGATCCTAAGGGAGGTGGCTGCAACTGGGACAGAGCTAGTTTTCATCAGGATTACTTTTTCCCCCTGAATATTTCTTGAGTACCTGTTACCTACTGAGGACGTGTGTGAATGGTAGAGCTAGGAAGGTGGGAGTAATGTGAGCCAGTCCTCAGTTTTTCTATCATAACTTAGAAATAACTAACTGAACAGGTACAGCCTAGATCTTTTGCATTTGCTATTCCCCTGCCTAAGTAGTCTTTGTCAGGTATACAGAAGAGTGTTTCTCACCTTCTTCAGGTATCAGCTCAAATACTACTTCCTCAGAAAGACCTCTTTAACTACCTTCTCTAAAATGGGGATACTCTGCTGGCACTTACTCTACTTTTCCTTTCTTCATGGCTCCAATCACTATTTGACATTATGTATCTGTTTTTATTCCCATTAAAACCCAAGAGTATTGTCTGTTTCATTCACTGCTTGTATCTCCAATGTTTAAAGCAGAGTTCAGCCTATGATAGATGCTCGGCCAATAGGTATTGAATGGTGAATAGATGATCTTCATTGATAAAACTCGCAGAAATACTTTTAGTATCTCCATTTATACATGATAAGTTTGAGGCTCAGAGAAGCTAAGGCAGTTGCCTCTAGATGAGGGGGTAGAGCTAGGATTTGGTTCTAGATCATCTTAATCCCCTTATTAAGAAAAGCTGTTTTCTTCTATGCTCCCCATATTTTTAGGTAAGCTGTCTTCACATGGTAACAAAAATGGAATATGGCAGCTCTAGAGAAATGAAAGCACCCCATTTCCTGATAATTCCAGTAAAATTCTCTGGGAAGACTCTCATTGGTTGGGCTTGGGTCATAGGTCTGTTCCTGAGCCAATTATTGGAAATAGAATATTCTCAAGACCTGGACTGAGTCACATGACTACTACCCTTGGAGCTCAAGTGGGAGTGGGGGTCACCTCTAGCAAACCACGTGGGCTAAGGCTGGGAAGGGGGCTTTCCCTGGAAAACAGCTGAGGACTGCTACAAGAAGAAGAGGAAAGGGATGCTGGATAGACAGTCTGGCAGATAGACACTGCTAAGGTTTTGATCCTTACCTGCTAGCCATCCCCCTCCTTCGTCTACCTCTTACCTTTGCCATTTCGTTCTGTCAATCAGAATTGAGTCCAGAGATTCAGGTCACTCACTGCTTCTTGGGCCAGGGGCCAGGTGATAATGTGTCTCTATTCCTAAAGTTGGAATAATGCTCAGACCTGCCTCCAGGTCAGTGCCACAGTTAGGAACTGAGCTTGGACCTTGATCCCCAGCCAGAAGATTTTGTTCATTTGTTTGTTTTTGGTGGGATTGTTGCCCCTCTTTGACAAGAATAGGTGCAGTATTTTTACATACAGGACTAGAACTATGCCAAATTGAGACTTGAGGAGGGAAAACAAAAGAAATAAGGATGGAATTTGTTTTGATCCTTGCTTCTGTTCGCCCCCTCACTTCACACTGAGGAATGGGGTGGGAAAGAACCAGAGGGAGGGGAGATCGGGAGCAGATGTCCTTATTCATAAGTAGAAAAGTGGAACCAAAATCACTGGCTTCATTCCTGTGATCTCTTGGTGTTTCCAGTGAGCCATCTGGTCAATATTTTTTGATATTTCCGTCTGTGGTAATTCAAAGTGATGACAATCAGAGTCACTAACGTTATGTAGCATTGTACTTAGTTCAGTGCTTTACAAGCATTTAATCTCATTTAATTCTCATAACACCCCCATGAGGGAGGCTCTGATATCATTCTCATTTTATAGCCAAGGAAGATGACTCTTAGAAGTTAAATGATGGGTCCAAGGCCACAGAGAGGCTGGGATTTGAACCCAGACCTGTCCGCCTCTGAAATTTAAGATTGTAATCACATCCCCAAATGGGCAAGTAACCAGTATCGAAAAACCTTTGGAGTTCCAAGGAATTCTGTCTCCCTGTGACTTGGTGTCCCCAAGGAGCCTATTTGTATGAACAATGGTGTTGACATTCTTCTGCCACAGAACTCGGCCACATGTAAATAGTTTGATATCCTGTTTAATTAAGGGGTATTTTAACATCTATTCCAGGCAATCCATCAGTAACAGTTAATGGACCCGCCTAGTTATTTATACAACACTTTTTCCCTTTCCACCTCTTCTCTTCTTCCTGCCATTCATCCCTAAATCTAACACACTAGAAAACCTGAAGGGGCGGTGTGGCTGAGGCATGATTCAGAGCTTTCTAGAAGTTTCTTTGGGCAGATACAGCTTCTAGGGGAGGCAAGGTGGGGGCTAGAGAAGTGCTCAGCTGTTGCTATGGGTATGTTCATTCTGGGGCACAGCTTAGTTGGTCAGCACCTGGATTTCCTGGGGCAAGGGCCCTAAGGACACACTGGAGCTTTACAAATCTGATTGCAGGTGTTTCATTATCGGTTGGCATGAAGAACATTACCCATCCTGTTCAGGCAGCAAATTAGAGGCACAGAGAATAAACCATGACCCACTCATAGGGCAGGTGGGAGACGCTCACCCAGCTTCCCCATGGCTTCAGCATGATCACTTTAATCTGCAAACCAAATTCAGGTCCTGTATGCTCTTGAGGGACCTAGGCTTCAGTTGAATGAATGATGGACTAGGTGGTATGCAAGAGATCTAGGATATTTTCTAGTCTGTGCCCCTGAAGTAGCTGTGTGACCTTATATAAGTCTCTCTACTTTTTCATCCTCCATCTTAACAAAAAAGAACTAAACTAGGTACTTAGTGTCTGTGGCTACTCCAGATCCACCATTCAGTGATTCTAAGTGAGCTATCCAAGACTGCCAGGTTGGTCATTGTTTCCTGAAGCAGCCCCTTGTTCCTTCTCCTCTGCTGTGGTATATCCTCTCAGGTTGGGTCTAGGGGTTTTAACAGTGCCTTGGGCTGCTCTGGGTTATGCTTCCCCAGCCCGATTCTATTTCACATCTGAGGGAAGGAGGAGGAGATTATGTTGTTCATGGGGCTGATAGGCGCGAACCGTTCTTCATTTTCTGAAAGTTCATTGGCTTAATTCAAATGTCAACCTGTCTAGGGTTGGGTGTTTATTCGTAGTTGTCAAAAGTGATTTCAAGTGGCAATTTCTGTCATTAGTGTTAGGGTGAAAAGCAAGGAAAAAAATTAAAGTAGGAGGCAGGATTTCAATTTGTTTGATGAATGATCTACTCACACACAATCTCATGCACACACACTGCTGTCTGTGATGAAGCGTGGTCACTGGGTGTACTGGGGAGGCGGGGAATTGTAAATATTTTGTGACCTTATGTCCTTCAGTCCTATGTGGTGAATAAATCTGTAACTTGCTCTTAATTCTTATGCCTCTTTTGCTTTGTTTCTCAAGGGAGTGGTTCATTTTTACTTTTTCTCTCTGCTGGGAAACCTTGCTTGACTTCATGTCCAGTGTTTGGTATCCAAAGACGGGGAGGAGGAGGATTTGCTTTGGTGTCAGTGTGCAGAAATCAACCAGAATATTTTAACCAATATTCTTGCAGGATTCCAGTCTGCTTGGCTCTTTGAAGCCCTATCTGATTCCAGGATGATGTCTTTCCGGACAGATGTGAAGCTTACCTCTCTTGCTACATGCAAAGTGAAAAGGGAGCTTGGCCCCTCGGCTTGCATGGGTGGTTTTTGGGTGAAGGTGGAACTAAGTGCTCAGAAGCTGAGTACCTCTGGGGCTTGCATGAACTTGATAGTCATGCAAGAGCACATTGCATTGTGTGTGTGTGTGCTGCTAACACTCTTCTTCCTTTTTCTCCCCTTTTCTCTCCTCTCTCCCTTTCCCTCCCTTTGAAAATGCTGCCACAGATGTCAGTCAAGATCCAGGTGAGTCTTTGTGTTTGCACAGCTGCTGTGGGAATTTCCCCTCTGCTAGATTGTGCATGGTTTGAGTCTGAGTGAGACTTTTATAGAGACAAAATTCTAAGTGTATTGCATTTTCACTGATCTAGGTTTAGAAGAAGAAATGCATTGAATTAATGGATTTGTATTGGTTTTGAAGAACCATTTTAAAGCCAAAGGAATATGGTTCTCATACTTAATATAATCACTTCCTTCTCATTAGTATTTCTGGGTGATTCAGAAAATGAACATTTTTGGGAAAGTATTTGTAAAGTTGTTCTTAGATATGTATTCTCCAATTTAATGAACAACGTTAGCTTTGTCTTTCACACATCTGCTTATCTTCTCTAGCTTCATGTGGTTGAAAGCAGAAGATATGACATACGTAGCATGGAAAATGTGATGTGGGTGAAAGGAGGTTTCTTTCTTTTTATTCTCAGAAATGTCTTTTTCACAATGAAACCAGCAATATTTATTGTTTTTCCTGGTTATGTAAATAATACATGCTCACTGTGGAAAAAAAAAGCAGGATGGTTTGAATAAATGGTTTTTGTCAATGGAAAAATTAAAGAACCACGTTTATAATAATTATGCATTTCTCTTTTTAAAGTGTGTCTTCATCCAGAGTCCTGGTTTTAAGCATTGCGTGTGTATAGACAAATATATATGCACACACACATACATAGAATCATGTGAACTGATGCAGGCATTTATGGATAAGTGTCAGATGACTTAGAATGGTTTGGAGACTATTCTGAACTGGCTAGAACTTTGAGTTAAAAAGAATAATTAACTTGACCAAATAGGAAGGGAGCATCATTTCAGGTGTTTTCACATGTTTTCTTGTTTAGTCCTTTTAATATTTAATTTTTATAGCATTAATACGAGATAAGTATCATTATATTCATTTTAATGTACAGGAAATTTAGGGCCTGTTAGGTTAAGCAGTTTTGCCCACGATCATAGAGCTTGTCAGTGGTAGCACTGGGATTTGAACTTCTGACTCTCCATTGGAACATGCTGGGACCTGTAAGTGAAAATTCTCAGTGATTAAAGATTTTGTAAGTATTTCCTAATGAGACTATTGATTATTTGTTTGTTTTTGCTTAGAGATACTTGACATTTTCTTTATTAGCAGCCTTCTTTCCAAATGAATTTATCTTTTTATTGTTCTTAAATGTCTAAAATAATCAACCAGACTTAAGTAGGGTTCTTCTGATCATTGTTCTGTGTGGGATCTTACACAACATAAAAGTAGAATACAGTTATTCTACTTAATGCAGAGAGTTTCTCTCCATTTCTTCCTGCCTGCTCCCTACCTTTGAAAATAATTGGTGTTTGAACCAAAGCCCAGGACAGCATTTCCTAGGAAGATGCCATTAAGTTTATTATTTCTATTTAATAATATTTTAGTTCAATCGCTCAGTCAACAAATATTTATGTTCCAGGAACTGTTCTAGGCCATGGGGACAAAACAGTGAACAAAACAGAAGACATTCAGTGCCCTCATGGACCTTTTATTTTAGACAGAGGCAGACAATGATCTAAAATGTACACGCAGACACACACATATCTATGTATATATACATATGCTTTATATGCATACATATATACACACGTATATGCATGTTTTGTATATGCATGTTATGTATATATTACATATGTATAGTATCAGGGGGTGGATGGGAAGTGCTGTGGAGAAAATTGAAGCAGGATAGAGGAGAAGTCCCTAATTTACAATAGGTAGTCAGGGAAGTACCCTCTGATAAGATGATATTTGCTGGGAAACCTCAAGGAAGCGAGGGAGTAAGTCCAACACCTCGTTTTGTTTGTAAAGTGCCACGTGGCGGCTTCTCTTTCTGGTTCCCAGCAGAGAAGTGACCAGGGGTCACCACATAGAGCTGGGCCCTGCATAGGGTCTCCCAGCCAAGGGGGTGAATGGGGGTATGAATCCAACCTGTGTTCCTCTTGCCAAGCTTGTGCCCATGAGGCTGCCTCTGACAAAAGGGGCATCTTTTTCTAGTGCTCACACAGGCGCCATATTGGTCCTGGGTGAGATAACATGGTGGAGTGAAATGCAGTGGACCCATAGGCCTTCTGCCATCCTTTCAAAGGGGTAGAAGTCTGAGGAATACCCTTCCTCAGATAACAGCAACTATGACCAGCCTGGCCCACACCATTTCAATTTCATGGCTGTTGTCTCATTTTGTTCTGTTATCCCTCTGAGGTGTGTAGCCCGAGTGTCATTTCAGTGTTGAGGAAGTTGGGGCCCAGGGAAGTTAAATGATGTGTGACGGTCACCCAGCTGTTGAGTGGCAGGGCCAAGAGGGGATTGCAGCCTAATTTCAGATCTTGTGCTCTTCATTCTTTCCTCGAAGTGTCAAGGGCTGATTACCAATCTTGTTGCCCCACCAACCCCTTGCTTTTTTGTGGTTTCTGAGCCTGAAGCAAATCACTGGTTTGGACCCTTCACTTGGGGCCCTGGACATGGCAGGAGGTGGCCTGAGCGTGCCCGGCCCTGGCTGAGGTCAGTGGGGGCCTCCTGCCTCTCTGAGCCCCTTGCCAGGCATTCTGGAGCCGACAGCGCTGTGGTTCTGAAACAAGAAGCCTTCAGCAGTTCTCTGACTCTTTTTTCCTTCCCCTCAGGAAGTCAAGTTGGGGATTTTATGAGCTAATGTAACTATTTACCCAGAGGCCGCTGGAAGACTATAAAGGGATGATTGATTAATTGATTAATTTTACATGTGGAGGAGATGAGTTAGAAGTAACCCTACTGTAAAGCAGTCTGAGATGGGGCCTGGTGGGCAACACCTTTCCCAAGGTCCCAGAGACAGGTTAGGGACTTGGAGCAAGAGCCCAGGGCACCCAGGAAAAAGGGGCAGGCACATTTTCTTCCACTTCATGGGGTGAAATCCACATTCCCTGCTTGTAACCTTTGGGGAGGAGGTTCAGAATAATAACAGTAACAATAAGCACTTGGCAGGTGCTGAAGAGGGCCCGGGAGCCCAGCTCTGACATTCTCTTAACCCTCCATGTCAGCTCCTCCAGGTTGATGTTACCATCCTCAGCACAGATGGAGAAAAGCTGCTGCAGGGAGCTTCAGTAACTTGCCCAGGTCACCTCCTGCTGGTGACTAGGCCAGGATCCCGGATCTGTCTGCCTCCAAAGCTTGTGCTCTTGTTCTTCCAGACCCTGCCTTTCACATGACAGAGCTGTGGGCCAGGCTGTGTCCTATTTGTGTCTGCATTCCCAGCTCTTTGCACAGCACATGGCACAGAGCTTAACCTCAAAAATCTCTATTGAACAAGAAGTATGGCCACAAGCACATGGGGAGTTTTGAGTTTGCAGGGTTCCAAGACATGGTGGAGCTTAAAGGGTATCCTGTCCAAGGAGTGCAAACTGAGGCCCAAGAAGGGAAAGGACCTATCCAAGGCCATGTTACCCATTTGTGGCCTGGCAGGGACCCCTGTCAGGTGCCTTATCCCATGCTTTTGTACATTGGGATTTGTCACTGGTCTTCCTGGGCTGCTTGTAGGGCAGAGGTGGGCATCTCTGCCCTGCCTTTAACCTTCCCCTGCTTTTTGCCTGTTCTAGAACTCTCTGGAAGCCATTTGGAGGTGAGGAAGAGGGAAGAGTAGTGGGTTAGAGCACAGGGAACAATTCTGGGACCTCTGGGTGTGAGACCCTTCTTCTCCCCTCCCCCAGTGCTTCTCCCTCCTGCCTGGAGGGGCTGTTTATGGTGCTCCAATGACAGCCTCTCTCCTCCGAAGGGATAATTTCTCAGGCTCTGCCTGCTGATTAGACCTGGAATTTAAATGAATAACTGTGACCTTGTGGAAGTGCCCTAGTTATTCAGAGGCCCGATGAGGAAATAGGCCTCCTGCTTCCATCCATCAGAGCCCTGGCAGGCACTGTGGGAGGGGCTCCTGTCTGCTGGGCCCCCAGGAGGCCTCCGTCTGCTGTTGCCAAAGGAACAGATACCTTTGCTGGAGCCTTCCCCTACCCGCTCTTGATCTCCGCCCCGTATTGTGTTCCTCCTCCATTGTAAGTCATCTCAGGCTGTCCTTGGGGAGGGGACCTGATTATGTGTCCTGGGCCTTGCCCTGTCTCCAGGGAGCCACTCAGTCCAGCCTGAACCCAAAGCTTGGAGACAGCTCTAGTCTGACTTTTGTTTGTGGACACAGAGGGGATGCACTTGAAGCTTGTTGCTCACAGGGCGACCTGCAGAACCGACCAGCAGATTCTCAGGCCTGCTGAATCAGAATCTGCATTTTATCAGGACCTCTAGGTGTATACTCATTAAAGTTTGAGCCACACTGAGCTCAAATTCCCACTCTCTCCTCCCATTTGGGACCAACAGGGCTGTCTTTACTGAGAAGTTGCGGTTCACCTTGCGAAAGCCCTCGTCTTCCTCTCTTGTGCTGGGCACAGAATGAGATATCTGATCTGGTTGTGGGGAGGAAGAAGAAGAACGAGATTAGGGAAGGGAACGAGAATGAACACTTACTGACCACTTAGTCTGCGCTGGTCACTGTTCAGGCACACTCTGTCTGACATGTTACATCTTTCATGTAGATGTAAGGCAAGATAGCATAGGATGGAGCAGGAGTTGGCAAACTATAGCTTGAGGGTCAAATCCAGCTTGCAGCCTGGTTTTGTATGGCTTGAAAGCTAAGAATGGGTTTTACATTTTTAAATGGCTGGGAACAGTCAGAAGATGAACAATTTGTAAGACAAAAATTTTATGAAATTTGAATTTCCATGCTCGTAAAGTTCTTTTGGAACATAGCCACACCTATTCCTTTATTCCTTTATGCATTGTCTCTGGCTAACATTTTTTTTTTTTTTGAGATGGAGTTTCGCTCTTGTCACCCAGACTGGCATGTAATGGTGCAATCTCAGCTCACTGCAACCTCTGCCTCCCGGGTTCAAGCAATTCTTCTGCCTCAGCCTCTCGAGTAGCGAGGATTACAGGTGTGTGCCACCACGCCCAGCAAATTTTTGTATTTTTAGCAGAGACGGGGTTCCACCATGTTGGCCAGGCTTGTCTCAAACTCCTGACCACCTGTGATCCACCTGCCTCAGCCTCCCCAAGTGCTGGGATTACAGGTGTGAGCCACCTCACCTGGCCTGTCTTCGGCTACTTTTGAGCTGCACAGGCAGAGTTGCATAGTTGTGATAGAGCCTCACAGCCTCTAAAGTGTTTACAATCTGGCTCCTTATTAAACAAAAGTTTGCCACCTCTGTCTCTATCATGGCACTGTGACCTATTCAAGTTACTTTACCTTTGTGGGGGTTCCACTTCTTTCATCTGCAAAATGGGGACAATAAGAGAACCTACCTCATGGAGTTGTTTCGAGCTTGTGTTAGAACAGTGCCTGGCACATAGTTAGCCATATATAAAATAGCTATTAGTATAAATGTGAAAGGAAAATAAATCTTGGGGCCCCCAAATCACTAAAGGGAAAAGTCAAGCTGGGAACTGCTTAGGGGAAACCTGCCTCCTATTCAAAGCCACCCCTCTGCTCGCTGAGATAGATGCATATCTGATTGCCTCCATTGGAAAGGCTAATCAGAAACTCAAAAGAATGCAACCCTTCATCTCTCACCTTTCTGTGACGTGGAAGCCCCCTCCTCTCTTCTTGCCTTTGCTTCAAGTTGTCCCGCCTTTCCAGACCTAACCAATGTACTTCTTACATACATTGATTGATATCTCATGTCTCCCTAATATATATAAAACTAAGTTGTGCCTGGACCTCCTTGGGTACGTGTCCTGCTGACTTCCTGAGGCTGTGTCAGAGTGGGTCCTCAACTTTGGCAAAATAAACTTTCTAAATTAACTGAGACCTCAGATTTTCGGGGTTCACATAAGTTATCCATTTGATCCTTTAAGCACATGTTTCCATTTTATAGATGAAAATACTTTGGCTCAGAAAGGTTTTTTTAAAAACGGAAAATCAACCCACCGTTGTAGCTGTGTCTTGGTCTCCCTAATTGTCTTGAGGCATGCTCCTGTGCAGTGCCGTAGAACCTCCCCAAACACACCTGCTGTTCTCTCCTGTCTCATATTCTCTCCCATCTGTCCTGCCCTTTGTGCTTGCAGTCAAGAGGTCCCTCAAACTTAGATCCCAGCCATTGTTCTCAAGTGGGGCTTAGGAACCAGTAAAAAGGGGCAAAGGAGACCAATATTTTGTAGAGAACCCACAGTGTGCCAGGCACCTACCACTTCACCAATGAAGAACCTTGAGCTCCAAGACATTGCATCCTTTGCCCAAGGTCAGAAGCAGGGATGGTAAGTTTCAGAATGTAAATGCAGGTCTGGAATTCTGCTTGGTAGTTCTGCCACTTTTCCCAGGAGGTGTACGCCCTTGGGCAAGTCATGTAACCTCTCTGGGCAATAGGCTTCTTTTCTTTAACCTGATAGATTAGAATCAGATGACCTTTCAGGCTTCTTTGATTCTGAGGCTGTATGCTTAGACCATCTGACTGAGATACCTTGGGGAATAGCAACCAGGAGAATGCCTTCTCCATTACCAAAGACTTCAACCTCCTAACTCTAGTAGTACCTATGAGATATTTTGTTTTTTCTTTGCTATTCTTTGGGGCAATACTCTTACTTGCTTTTCTTCCTTATTACTTTATGAGAAAAAAACACTTGAAATTGTTGAGCTTGTATTTTAAGCCAGGCATGGAAATATTAAGTATTACATGCCTCATTTAATGTTTTTGACATCCCTAGGAGGTAAATTGCTATTTGGCCCATTTCACCCATGAACCAATTGAGGCTCAGGTACAATAAGTACCTCACTGATACAACCCAGTAAAAAGTAGTGGAACAGAATGCAAACCCTGGTAGGTGCGGCCCAGGAGACATCTCCTAGGGAGTTCCACTAGAGTGTACACTTCACAAAGGTACACTGGTGTTTACAACTGTGCCCTCTTAGCCTAGAACTCTGACAATACATTGCAGGCACAGAAAAACACTTCCTGAATGAATCAACAGTGCTTAGGACTCAGCTCTTTGTTTTATCCCACATCCTGCTGAAAGAAAGTCCGCTTTTTATTGGGGTTCACCCTGAGACAGAAGGTAATTGAATGAATCTTTATTCAGTGCCCATCTTGGGCTTGGCTCAGTGGGAGATGGAGGCTGCAGGGAAATCTACCTCCATTGCGTGTAATTAGATTGGAAGGGGGCCCTCAGCTGGGCTAACAGTGCTCAATTCCCAGCCAATTGCCTGGCTGGGGCCCAGGAAGACCCCCCTGGCTCCTGTAGCTGTTCTCGATGAGTAAGTGTGAGTAAGGAGCTGCTTCTCAACCTGCCTCCAGCTTTGGCTCACTCAGGGATGCAGATCACTGGGCCTTGGTGCTTTTTTCTAGAGCCGTTAGAAATCCCTCCTTTATTGTCTTAGGCAGACCCACCGGGGTATTGGTTATGGTCACATTTCATTTCCCAGTTCTGGAGGGCAAGGCCAGAGTTTTAGCTGGAAAAATCATTTGTGGTATCCTGCCCCTGACCCTGCCAAATGGGCGGAGGTGTTTATTTGTTGCTCCAGTGTTGAGGGCAGCAGTGGCATTTAGAAGGAAGGGATAATGAATGTTAAATGTGCTGTGATATGCAGAAGAGCCTCATTCAAAGTTTTGTGCTGCTCAAAATGTCATTGATGAGACCATTGCGAGACTATTCTAGACCAGTTCCCTCCCTGTCCAGGAGGGGGAAATGAGGCAACAGACCTCCTACACGACTCAGCTAAGCCACACAGCTAGTTTGGGACAGCCTTGGAGACCCTCCCAGTCTGCAGACCTGCCTAGGGAGGTCTGGTAAGGACGAGGCTAAGCTTGTCAGTTTGCTAGGCTAGGCCTCAGGAGGGGTGAGGAGGTGGAATGCAGCTGAGAGTCCAGGGCAGTGGGTCCCTTTATGGGGTAGCTTAGCTGACTGTGACGATGTAGGGAGGCATCTGAGGATGCACTGGGCAGGTGGTCCGCTAATGCTGCCAGCTTATTAGAGAAATGGTGTTGGCAAGAGATGGAGGGCAGGGCAGAGAGAGGACCTAGATAGACCAGTCCCCTAAATAATGGCAGCAATAACTACATGCTTTTGAGCCCTTCCTGTGTGCTAGGAACTGTGCTAAGTGTATTCCATGTGTGGTTACATGTGACTGTCACAGTGATTCTGAAAGGATATTTTGCAGATGAGAGGCAGGAAATTTTACAGGTATTTTTCAGATGAGAGGCAGAAGGAAGTGCAAAGTTAACTTGCTCAGAAGTCCCACCATTAGTGAGAGGTGGAGCTGGAATTTGAATCCAGGCTTTGGATTATTGAGAGCAGTGGTCTGCAAACTCTGGTATGCATCAGAATCACTTGGAGAGCTAATGAATGAGATCCAGGCTCACTAAACTAGGATAGTTCTCCCAGGTGATTCTAATACAACCAAAGTTTGAGAATCACTGTTTTAAAATAAAGTCATCTTGAAGATGAAGGGACCTGAAAGCTTCACTCTTCACCATAATTTTATACTCCCACATATATCATGAGTAGTGTGGGAGATTGTGAAGAGGAAGTAGAAGGGAAGATGGGATGATGATCTTCCTTTGAGTTCCCCATGGCTTTTAGGCCATAGGTCTAGTAAAGCCATCATGATGATACACCATAGTCAGCTGTGTATTTTCTGGCCCCCTTATCTGCTACCGTGGGCACTTGAAGGGCAGCAGTGTCTTACTCTTTGAGAACAGAGATTTATCCATGCATGTATCCCCACTACCTGCCACATTGTAGGTGCTCATAAACCTGTGGTTAGAATCAGCATTTCAAGGAAGGAAGAGGCCCAATAGATTGTCAAGGCTCTCTGTGCACCTAATTTTTGAATCTCTTCTGTAAGAGTTGATTCAGACTTGGCTTGGACCCTTTCAGAGATGAGCAACTCATTGCTCCTTTAGCTTTTCCATTCCATTCCAACAGCACTGAACATTTGAAAGCTCTTTCTTATCTCTAGTTGCTATAGCCTCCACCACCTGTATGGCTTCCAGCCCTTGGAGACACACAGAATAGCTCTAATTACACTCCTAGTGTTTGAAGACAGGGCTTTTGCCTTTAAGGATCTTCTTTTCTAAAGGCTAAAACATCTCCAGTTTTTTTTTTAAGCATTCTCCTACAAGGGGTTTTAATTCTTTCTTCCAGGTCATTGTTCTCTGAAAAATGACACATTTTATTTTTTGCATCCTTTCCAAAGAAGGATGCCCACACCACATACAGTATTATGAGTATGATTGGGATCAGTTCAGTTCATTATAGAGTGGTCTCAGGACTCCCCCTTTTTTTTTTTGAGATGGAGTCTTGCTCTGTTGCCCAGGCTGGAGTGCAGTGGCGCAATCTCAGCTCACTGCAACCTCTGCCTCCCAAGTTCAAGCGATTCTCCTGCCTCAGCCTCCTGAGTAGCTGGGATTACAGGCACCCACTACCACACCTGGCTAACTTTCGTATTTTTAGTAGAGACAGTGTTTTGCCATGTTGGCCAAGCTGGTCTTAAACTCCTGCCCTCAGGTGATCCACCCGCCTCGGCTTCCAAAAGTGCTGGGATTACAGGTGTGAGCCACTGCACCTGGCCTGGACTCCCTTTTTCTAGATTAGATATCTATTAATGACAGCACCAAACACCTTAGCCTTAATAAAAAAAGATTATAGTATTAATTGAACTTAATGTCAGTGAAAGTCTTTACTATTGTAATGTCAGTGGAAGTCTTTACTATTTTTGTGCCCATTTCTCTCCCTTTCCTGGACTTGTGCAGTTGGTTTATTTAACTAAAGCTTGGGATCATTCTTTGACTTTGTTAAATCCAGCTTTGGATTTTAAAAATCCATCACACCATGATCTATGTGGGTGCAGTGCTTTTATCTAGCACATCAGCTGTCCCTTCTAGCTTCATGTCATTCATCAATGAAGAACTATTTTAGGGAAGTTCATGACAGCTGGAGAGCAAAGACTTTCTTTCCTTTGGAATGATTCTTTTCTAAAAGTCATTACTGCTGCTCCTTTGGCCCCTAGAGTGATGGCATAACTACCTTTGTCTCTCTGTCTTCCACAGCATTAATGCATGAGGAAGCCTCACCACTCCTTCCCCACTAAGAGATGGAATAGCTTGGGAATATGCTGGAGACATTCTTTCCCCTACACTGTAGTTAGGCCATACAGAAGCTGTTGGTTACTCATGGGCATGATAGGAAGAAACCCTTTCTGTTCAGTCCAGCCACCTTGCCATAAGAACAATATTGGTCTAGTGGCAAACAGTGAGTGGGCTGGTATGATTACATGGTACAAAAGGCTAGGTGGTGAGGACTGAACATGGTAGTATCATGGAAGGGCAAAACCCAGAGGCTGGAATCTGGGCAACCCCTATCTTGGAGAATTAGCAGCAGGATCTCTCTCTTCTGAGTCTCTGGAAATCATCATCATCATCAGTCCAGCAATTCGATCCATTCTCAGTGCTGTGTAAAGCTTGCATAAAAGCCAAAATCCTGTATGTAAATCCTATATGATTATCCTGAGTGTTAGCTCATAATTGCTGTTAGGTGATTATTTGAAGCTTTGTATAGCTTGGCTGTAGTGGTGACAGGCTATTGTTGAAGTCTGCCATTCTGATTATGGGTAGCATTCTCAGGGGATTTCAGCCATTTAAACCACCATTTTTATAGGTCAAAACAAGTCACCTATCAGCAGTTTAATACAGTCCTGCCCAATATGTTGCTTGGTGTCTTTGGAGATCATCAGAATTCATAGAGGCAAAGAATCTTAGAGTTGGGAGGACTTTCTGGTAATTATCTCCTACAACCTCATTCTGACTCTTTTTTATGGCATTTCTGGCAAATAAAATTTCCCTTATTATTTTACTCTCTGTTCATGCCAAATGTGCTTGTTTTTTTTTTTCCATCATGCATGTACAACTTTAAAAACGCTCGATGGGGGCCAGGCGTGGTGGCTCACACCTGTAATCCCAGCACTTTGGGAGGCCGAGGTGGGCAGATCACGAGGTCAAGAGATCAAGACCGTCCTGGCCAACATGGTTAAACCCCGTCTCTACTAAAAATACAGAAATTAGCTGGGCGTGGTGGCAGACACCTATAATCCCAGCCACTGGGAAGGCTGGGGCAGGAGAATCGCTTGAACCTGGGAGGCAGAGGTTGCAGTGAGCTGAGATTGTGCCACTGCACTCCAGCCTGGCAACAGAGTGAGACTCCATCTCAAAAAGAAACAAAACAAAACAAAACTGCTCAATGGTAGCTCTCATGTTCTTACATGAGTTTTTTACAAAGTTAGCTGCACATAGTAGTTCCTTGAGCTGTTCTGCATGTTGACATGTTTTGGGTCCCTCATGGTCCTAGGTATTCTCCTTTGGAATTAATACTCCACTTGACTAATGCCTCCCCTAATGTATGGCAACATACACTGAACCAAAACCCTATATCTGGTATAGACAATGCTGAGAAAAGGTGAGACTTTTGAACATTTTTATTCTGGTAGGTAGAGGATTGCACTTAAGTGCCAAAATTTACATTTAGCCCTTAAAATTAAATTTCACTTTTGCCTGTTCTCATCCTTTTGGACCCTAATTCTTATATCTAACAAATTAGTTATTTTCAGGTTGAGGTCATCACAACATCAAGACAGCATGCCATGAATGTCTTCAGACACATCATTGATCCAAATGTGGAGCAGGCCTAGGCTCTGCTGTAAGGAACTAGTGAACCCTGGGCAGAAAAAGTAGATTCAGGTTCACAGTGAAGGTCAGGGAATTACTCAGGGAAGGGCTGGTCTGAGACAAAATTATGGATTTCACCTGTAATCGCAACTACTCAGGAGGCTGAGGTGGGAGGTTCACTTGAGCCCAGGAGTTTAGGGCTGCAGTGAGCCACGATCCACGATTGTGCCACTGCACTCTAGCCTGGGCAACAGAGTGAGACCTTGTCTCAAAAAAAAAGGGGGACTTAGGTAGAAGGTTTTTTCTAACCCTTCCCCTTTCCTGTAAACATTCTTCTCAATCCCACGCTGTCTCCTGTGCCCTGCCTCCTGCCCATGGTGGCAGACTTCTTCAGTCTGCATGTCTCTTGAGTTTCTCCATTCAAAAGCTCCTGTGCATGCCCCTGTCTTGGATGAGAGACCTTTAACCTGGCTGGCCTGATGATCTCATACATGACAGTATCCGTGACTGAGGAGTCTGAGTGGGTCTCATGTTTAAATTTGCGTTTTAAAGAGAGAAGTGGCTTTATGCCACTAGATAACTTGGGAAAGGAAGAATTTCATGTTTTAGTAGATTCTGTGGATGAGGATTGAGGAAAGGGAGAAGACAGCCATTTAAAAGGGCTTCCCAGGGCCCTTTAAACCATGCTGAGCCAGGGTCATAAATGAAGCTGATGTCTAGGCATGATTTTCTGCTTCTGGATTCTCTGAGATATGTCTCCTTTCTTCTCCATTAGCACTGAACTAGAGGGGGTAACTGGTGTCATGGTTACCATCACAGGCTGGAAAGTCCATCTGCTGGTGCAGAGTCCTCACTTCACCCCTCACTAAGGTAGTGTGACTTTAGCTCTCAGCTTCGGTTTTCTCACGTGTAAAATTAATGGTATAGCAATGTCTTTCCCATAGAGCTGTATTTAATGAGATAACACATAGCCATGTCTCGTCTGTGATAAACAACCAGCAGATATTAGCTGTTATTGTAATTCTCTTTACCAAGTTAACTGAATTCCGTCTCTTTAGTGCTTAAAATGCTAAGATGTGTATTTCAACTGGAAGATGAAATTCTTCCTTTCCCAGGTCATTTTTGGGAGGGTTATCAAGCCACTTTCCTCTTTAAAATGCAAATTGAACAACATGACTTTTTTTCCCTTTTCTCTCTTTTCCAAATTCCTGGTCACCCTACAGACACTTTTGGCTTCTGCAAATTTGGGGGCCCACCCTCTTCCCCCTTCAGTATCTACTGAGTTCTTCCAGAAACATCAGGTGAATGTTTCTATGACCTTCTGATTTTGCGTAATTACTCTTTTAAAAAGTCCTTGTGGCTTCATAAGAATTCATCGTTGGCACTTGGCACTTGCAGCAATTAGTGACATTTAATTTCTCTACTTCGCTATGAAAAAAAGAGATGATATATGTGGATTTTTCACTGAGATAAAAGTTACTCTGAAAGCGAGTGAAATAAAAGTCTTGGCAGAGATAACTTTTTTTTCGTCTTTTCTGAATCTTTTTCTTTTTTTCTCCCCTTGTGAGTGACTTCCTTCCTTCCCCGAAATGCTTTTGCCAATTACCCAGCCAGGGTGAAGGAAAGAAGAATGGATTTGAAAACCATCTGAGGTGGGTGGGATATTATAGATTTAAGGGGGAGACAATATTAGCTTAAATGATGGAGGCCTTCAACTTCTGGCCTGGTTCCTGAACATTACATCTTCCTCTTGCCTGTTTCAGTAAATGGTTTCTATTCTCTGTATTAGTCATTCTCATGACAGGCTTCATGATGGCCACAGCCGCTTACAAATGACTTTGCTTTCATAGCCATTTCCATTTTCCCGAGCTGCAAAAGCAGCTATAGCTATCTCCATGGGGATTTTCCCAAAGGGTGTAACATAGTTTAGAGGGCCTTACGTGTACTTTGCATATAATTTACATATGATTTGCAGTCTATTCTAAGGCAATTTCAACTTTGTATGCCTTATCTCCTGGTGATCTTTTTCTCCTCTTATTCCTCTATGTACCCTGAGAACCTGTGCGCCACAGATAGGCAGGTACAAGAAGGGTGGAATATATTAACAGGACTAGAAAGAGGGAGGTGGAAGGGTCAAAAGTATCAGACATCCTGTTGGGATCCAGCTGGAGTAGCACTTTTTCAGGGTGTGACATCAAACGGGAGACACTTCCGTTGCTTTCTTATATTTTTGTAATTATTTTTTAAAAAAGGAATTGTAGTTCCATAAGAATTTGACATTGGCAATTCTTAATTTCCTTAGCTGAACTTTAATGGTGCTGCATTTTGAGTCATAGCTGAAGATCTGTTCAAAGCCAGAGCCGATGGTGAGACTGTTTTGGAAAGGTGTGGTCCCCTCTGCTTCCATGAGCCCCCGTTTTAGCCTGTGCCTTTTCTTTTGGCAGCCCTGGAATATCAAACCCAGAATAAATGCCAAACTCCAAAACCAGCCAGGGTGCTTGTCCTAGGGCTGGCAGTGTGACCTGGGAGATTGCTGCTGATGGGCATGCATTTTGACCCCGTTTCTGAGGTCGACTAGAAGGTCCATCTTCATTTTTACCCCTTCCTCATCTACAACATACAGAATGCATGCCTAGCATAGACTCTGTTTCCTTTGTTGCTAATTATATCCTACTCAGTTAAGATTTTTTGAGCATTATTTTCTATAATTTATGTTGGAAAGCCATATAGTTCCTTTTCCTTTTTTTTTGAATGTAAAATTATTTCAACATTTATATCTTAATGTTGAATATGCTTGGAAAAAAGAACCTCCAGGATATCTTAATATTTCCCCACTCCTCCCAGGTTAAGACTCAGGGCTCCAACCCCTTTTCCTTTGAGGTGTCATTCACTGACACAGGTGCTGACCCTCTCATCTATGAATGGGGTTGTGAGAAGCCCTTATATTAATATTTGTCCTGACTCTCTCTCAGACTGTAGTCTTACATTGTTAAGGGCACACTGGATCTTTTGCTTGACTGATTCCTCCTTTCAGCTCTTTATGTGTCATACAGAACTTATTATCCCCACCACCTTGAATCCATCCCCCTACTCCATCCCACCTTCCTATTTCTGTTACTGTTTCCCCCAGTCTCCCATCCACCACTCTCCTAAAGGATCTCATCCATCACTGAAGCCTGTTCAATCCTCTTTTTTCTTTTCTTTCCCACTGCCATGATACTAATGTAGGTCCTTCCCCTGTAACTGAACTCTGTGCCTCCGTCTCTTTCCCCCTGATCCATCTCGTTCACAGTATTGCAAAAATAATCTTCTTCAATAACATCTTCCTTGGGTTTTTCTTTTGCCCATGAACCCTCAATGTCTCCCATCAATGACAAGATCAAGTCCACTTTGCTTAGCCTTGAAACTCCAGACCTCCATACTCTGATTCTTAGGATCATCTTTCCCTTTTTCCTTATATGAACTATGCATATGTATTCATTCCTTTATTTGTATAGCATGCTGTTACGTCTCAACCATGTACCTGGCAGTGTCCTGGTTGCTTCTGAAAAGCTAAACAGAAAAGTCCTTACCAATGCACTTTATGATCCTGGTAGCCCATGCTGCTACCTGGAATGTCCTCCATCTAAACCCTAAACCATTTTCCAAGACCTGTTAAAAATTCCTCTGTCCTCCAGAAACCTTTTCTGAGCACCTGGAACCCTCTTTATAGTCCCTACTGGTCTTATTGTCTGAATTAATCATTTGACACTTAGGAATTATCCATTCACTCATTCAATCATCAAACACACACTGAACACTTATTGTCTGTCAGGTACTATAATAGGTGTTGCCTTACATGTCAGTACATTTCCATAGCATAATAAAAATAACATCAACAACAACTGTTATAAAGCTCGTGTCAGGCTGGGCGTGGTGGCTTATGCCTGTAATCCCAGCACTTTGGAAGGCTGCAGCGGGCAGATCACCTGAGGTCAGGAGTTCGAGACCAGCCTGGCTAACATGGCAAAACCCCGTCTCTGCTGAAAAATACAAAATTTAGCCAGGCATGGTGGCACACACCTGTAATCCTAGCTACTCAGAAGGTTGAGGCAGGAGAATCACTTGAATCTGGGAGGCAGAGGTGGCAGTAAGCCAAGATTGCACCATTGCACTTTAGCCTGGGCAACAGAGTGAGATTCCGTCTCAAAAAAAAAAAAAAAAAAAAAAAAGAAAAAGCTCCTATGTGTAGGCACAAATTTGTATATGTTAATCCTCAAAGTAACTTTTGAGGTAGGCATTATTATTAGTCAAATTTTATGATAGGAAAATCAAGGCAAAGAAATGTTTAACAACTTTCCTAGCGTCACAAGTTAGAAAGTAGCACAGATGGAAATCAAACCTGGCTCTGAAGTCCTTGATCTTAACCCCCATGCATCACTGTCAGGTATGAGTATATATGGCAAATGTGTGTGTGTGTAAATATAAGCACATGCATACCTTCGCAGCTAGACTGAACTCTAGAGGTCAGGGATGATGTCCCACACTTACTTGTATCCCCACTACCTTATTCAGTCTATGCATGTGGTAGATACATGAATTGTTTGGATGATTGGTTGTTGGTACTTCCATTCACTGTTGAGGGGCTTGAGATTTTTAGCAACAAGTAGGAGTGTTTTGAGGTAGAAGGCGGAGAAGCAGAATTTCAAAATAGACCTGGGCATGATGGAATTCTTGGTTTCCAGTTTTTAACTCTGCAAGCTCTGAGGACAGGTTTGTGCAAGAAAATGTACTGATGTAAAAGCCCTTGAAAGTGGAAGATAATTCTTTTCTCAAAAAGCAAAATAAAACAAACCGTATTATGGTTACATGGTTTCTCCCCCCAGTCCTGTTTCCTGTCACACTGATTCATATCCATTTTGCTTTATTGGCTATAAAACCAAAGTTTTGGCATCAGGATCGTGTATCTCGTTTTCTGGCCTAGTATTTCTATTTAAGGGTTTTATAAGTTGAATATGAACATTTTATTTGAGTGGCAATACTGCAACTACATATGTAGTTTAATAAAACCTGATAAGTACATATTTGAATTTTAAAAACACAGGTGGTGAGTTATTTGCATTTTAAAAGGATTCTTCCCTTTACAAAAGGGTCCACTGCAGGGTTCTATTAAATATCCAATTCCCCTTAGTGCATTTATTATATGATTTAATTTACCAAAATTTGATTTATATGCCACTCTAAAGGGGTAGCTCTCAAGTTCCAGTAAGCATGGGAATCACTTGGGCAACTTGTTTAAAATTCAGATCTGGCCCCCACTCCTTCCCAAAATTCTGATTCATTAGGTCTTGGTTCGTGAAGCCCAGGATCTTCGTTTTTTAATAACCATCTCCAGGTGGCCGATGTAGATTGTCAGTGAAATACACTTTGGGAAGCATATAAGATAAAGCGCAATGATAGAGGTTTTTACGAGGCTTGAATCCCCTCTTACTACCAAATGTCCTGTTCACTATTTAGTAAATTTAAAAAATATTCACGTGGGTCAAATAAAGACTCTTCCATCGCTTTCCTACTCACTTCTTCCTGCAGCTGCCAAACATCTTTAATCTCAGGGGTAAAATGTTTGCCCTTTTTAACCCTCTATTTGACTCTTAGGTAGCTCTTCAGATCTTCCTTATTCTTTTCTTTTCTTTTTTTTTTCTCTCTCTCTGTCTTTTTTTTTTTTTTTTGAGACAAGGTCTTGCTCTGTCACCCAGGCTGGAGTGCAGTGGTGCGATCATAGCTCATTGTAGCCTCAAACTTCTTGGCTCAAGCAATCCTCCCACCTCAGTGCCCACCCGAGTAGCTGGGACTACAGGCATGCACCACCACCCACAGTTAATTCTTTAATTTTTATTTTGTAGAGACAGGGTTTCACTATGTTGCCCAGGCTGGTTTCGAACTCCTGGACTCAAGCTATTCTCCTGCTTTGGTCTCCCAAAGTGCTAGGATTACAGGTGTGAGCCACTCTTGTGAGCGTCACCTACTGAATTCATACACCTGTTCTGTTCCTGTTCCCCTTGCCACATACTCCAACAGACATTTTAAGAACCTTTATTTCTATGGAAGTTTCTTTTAACCAAGTCTAGGGCCTTTTCTCCTCTCTTCTTACTATACCCTTCCCCCACAAAAGACCCAAAATGAATTTTTTGAACAAAACAAATCATGAAAATGACTTGTTTTATCTTGATTTCATTCTTCCGTGAGTATTTATCCTGGTCCTAGAGCAACAAATACTAAAACTATCTATTTAAAATATTATAGTTTAATGAAACTTGTTTGACAAATAGACCCCCTGACATTTATGGCACATGTATCTGTGTATTTAATATATCATTGATCTTTTAAAAGTCAGTTGCTTGACCTATATTTTGTCTCTGATTACTTTTCTAAATCTCTAGTAATCTCTAAAAACATTTAGAGATTTCCATACTTTTTTTTTCCTTTATTAATCCCCTATATCCCTGAATTTTGCTCAGAGTAAGGTTCTCTGGAGTGATTTGGATATGTCAAATATCTCCAGTAACAACAGAACCAATACAAGAGCAGATAACTGGTACAATTGGTTCCTGGTTAAAAATTTTTTCTTCTTAATAGATTTATCAAGGCTTGTGCTTTCCTGAACCAAGGAGCTCTTAATATCCCTGTTTGCCTTCCATAATAATATAGCCAGAGGTTCTGTTATCTATTTATTGGGACTTTACATACCTTTTATAACCATTCAGTGCTTGGCTAGTCCTCCCTGATCAAGTGTGGAGGCCTTTCTAGGAAAGATGGTGGGGGAGAAGTGGAAGAAGTGGTATTGTTGTCCCTGGGCTAAGATGACAGTGATAGAAACAGTTCCAGGTTGTCTGAGCAACTCTTGTAAACAGGAACTTATTTGATACATTCCATATGATTCAATTTTTGTAGAAAAGACTATCTAGAGAAAAAAAAGTTGGATGGTAGTCTCTGGAAGGTGGGATTGCCATTGATATTTTTATTTTTGTTCTGATGATTTTTCCCAAGTTTCTACAGTGACCATGTATTGCTATTACAAGTAATTTAAAAGAAAGAAACCTACTTTACCTGGCGTCTTAAGTCTGCTTCCCAAGGGACTTAATCTTTAACAGATTTATCACAAATCCTACCTATTGCACAGAACAACGGTAAAAGGAAAGTTCTCGTGATTAGGCCCAGAGCAGTTCTGCAAACACAAGACTGTAAGCTAGAAAGCCAGGCTTTCTGCCCAGCAGCAGGAAGGCTGGGGTGTCCATGTTTGTTGCATGTCCCAGGGTATGTGCATGTGGAGTCTGACATGTGAGCAAGCGTGCGGCCCCTGTCACTCCTTTTTCCACTCAAGGATTAAGATTGTATTGCATTTGGGATTTTAACTTTGTCTTCTTTCTTTTTTTCCTTACCCTTCCCCACTCCTCTTCCCTTTCTCCCTGTTTCTCTTCCTCAGGCCTCTCCCACCTCATGATGAGTGAACAAGGTAGGTGCTTTGTGCTTGTGGTCCTGCAGCTGCCTGAACTGCTTGCCTCCGTGCCTCTGGCTGGTCACAGAGCCTCATCGTCACTGGCAGGCCATTCGCTGCCTGTCCTTCCTGCGCTGGGCCAGGCTGGCTGCAGGACCACCCTGCAGTGGGGGTGGGGGCACCTTCCTTGATGCATCGTGGTTTCCCACCCCTATTGTCCCCTTGGCTTCTCCATTCTCCACCACCATTTGTCATTTTGGGCGCTGGCCCTGCTGGGCTGCATCCGAGAGGGAAGCATGAAACCAGGCATGACGGTGTCGATAATGGGGGTGAATGAAGCTAATTTCAGAGCAACCAAGCGGTTAACTTCCTCCTGCTCCTCCCCAGGCCCCATGCCGGGGCTCCAGGCTGGGGGAGAGGAGCTGGGCTCCTCCCTGAATTTCCCTCTGCTTTTTGTCTTCCCCTCCATTACACTGCCCGTAATGATCTGCCTTCCATGGTCAAAGGAAGCCCTTGTGGGTTTGACTGTTTTCAGTTTTATATAAAAGCAAAAACCACCTAAAGAACATGCTAATGTCCTCATGGCAGAATACTAACTCATTATACACCCTGAAGAAAACTGCATATAAAGATCTGTAAATTCAGCATCTGCAACCTAAAATATTCAAATATGCAAGGAATGAACTGTGCAGGAAATTCAGCTCAGCTAAGCACAGGGTGGGATGTGAATGAAGCCTTTTTCTCCTAAATAAAAATTTTCCACATTATCAGCCTAAATCAGGAGTTGAGAGCTGAGCCTAGTTAAAATTGTCTTTTCCTTCACAGTTCAATTGCTGCTATTGTGTTTCTTCTGAGCCTTGGGATGATTGCAAGATTGGTCTACCTGCCTTGCCCTGTAACCAAAAGTCTAATTTTTCTTGACTATGTCGTGTTGAAATATACATGGGACTCAGCACCTCTTCTGGAGGACCAAAGAAAAAGGGAAAGAAGGATAATTCCATATATTCCTGTTTTTCTTGAGCTTTTGAGGAGGGTGGGACTTCCCCTCCCCTGCTCCCTGACATTGAGTCCATCAGACATTTTTGACATAAACGGCAGTATCATCAAATCAAGGAACTGCCCGAGGCTGGAAGAAGTTCGTTTATGGCATCCAGTTAGCTGTGGAAGTGGGCAGTCGAGGGCATCCTGAACTGACAAAGCAGGGTAAGGAGGAAGCCTACTTTTCCAATGTAAATGTATCCTCCAGACCTAAGCCAAGATCAGTGGTGTGGACTTCAGAAATTTCAATAAGGAGATGGTTTGGTAGAGACCATATGTCAAAAAATAGAACTGGGAGAGGAGATCAGGTGACTTCTCTAGTATTAGAAGGGGCTCCAGAAGAGGCTGAGATGAAGTCTCTGTTCTTGCAGTTTAGTGAGGGAGGGAAGGGCCAACAGCAAGTGACTATGAGGTGGACATGAGTAGGGGATGTACCTGATGTTGACCAGTGTGCAGGCAGCTTGAGAGAGTTAAGCACATCTCTTTGAGGAACCGAGCTCTATGAATTGCTGGAATTTGATGGCTCACCTTTGGTGACAAGTTACACCAGCAAAAGCAGACTCTTAGAGTCCCAATAAGCCCCTCCTACATTCTTTTTTCCCCTCCTACATTCTTTTTTCCCCTCCTACATTCTTTAGCCTTATGATCCCACGTGCCCCTTGGGAGTTCTCCAAGCTTTTATAGTGGCTTGGAGAACTGAGTGCATCACATCATAGGGCAGAGTGTGGCAAATGGGATAGGCTGATGGGGACTTCCTTGATCTTGATTTAACTTATTGCAGACACACTGATGCAGCATGGATATCTTGGAAGGCTAAATCCCAACACTGGTATGAAAAACATTTGGAGAGCCTATATTATATTCCTTATGCACACACACAGAGCTTCAGATACAACCATGCTCCGGGGGAATAAGTCTGGTACCTTCTAGAAAGAGAGAAAGACATAATGACAGACATGGATGTTGTGAATTCCTCTTTTGAGAGGTTTTCAAGAAAGGATGCAGAATTCTTCTGGGTAACTGGTGCTACTAATATTTTAAGTTGCAACTTGAAGTTTAATCTGTTTTTAAGACAGTCCTTTGACTGCATTCCTCTTCCTTTCATTCTTTCCATTTCCTATCCCCTTATCTGTTCTCACCCATTTGATGATTACCTAAAAAACCGATACTCTTCTTCTCACCAGTACTCCTTTCCTTTTCCTTATTCCTTCAACATGAAAAAAGGAGGCTTCTGTCTGGTTTCTGCTGAATCTTAACAATTTATTTTTGTGCCCATAAATATGTGTGGAAATATGTATGTATGTTGTGTGTACAACACCTATACATGTGTGTTATACTCTTGGTCCTCATAACTCATATTAATGTTAGGAAAATACAGGAGAACCTAGCTTCTCCGAGATGTCCCCTAATCATTTTTAGATTAAGTGCATGCAATTTCACATACATGTGGCTGTGCAGTACTTTTGCATGCAGACTTTGTCATGTTTCTGAGGATGGGACTGAGAAGAAATGAATGGGATGGAGCTTGAACATGAAGCTGAGGGAGCAGCCTTGCTGGTCACAGCGTTTACTGCTTGTTTAAGCTTCCACATTGTATGTTTGTTTTGCGCTGCCTCCTTAGGATGTTGCAATGCTACTGCCTTTACTGTTGTGAGTTTTTGTTTTGTGTGTTTTATGTCTCTTTGTGTGTTTGCAGTGTGCTGATGTTTGACTCTCCTTGCTCTCTCTCTGTCTCTCTCTGGCCGCCTCCATGGTGAACACCATGCTTCCTCTACTTAATTGGACCTTCATTTCTGTAGGTAGAAGTAAAGGTAGAGCTCACTTTATTTTTATCATTATAACTATCAATCTGCCTTTTGAAATATTCATGCATCCAAGAGGATTGTCGATTCTGAATACAGTCCAGATTATAAATTAATGCTTTTAACAACAACTGAAAAATAAGAATAAAAATAAAAAGCCAATGCTATCATTTCCCTTCAGTGCATTTCATGTTCAGTGTTTGGGGATGATTCTGTGTTGGCCTGCCTCCCTCTAAACTGAGGGCGGGCCTTCTGCATGATCTTGTACTCTTTCTATCAGGAACGGGGGAGGGTGTTCTAAGATCCCCTCCCAGTAAATATATTGAGGGAACAGGGGAAGTATGAAATTATGTATCATTGTTGCTATTATTTGGAATAACTGAATTTGGGGATAACATTGGTGGGGGAAGGATGATAGATGAGAAAGGGAGAGAATTGGTGAATTGCCTGAAATTTTATTTAATGTGGAATTGGGGGGGATATTTATTTATTTCTCTTTTTTTCCTGTGTTGTTTTTCCTGTATATGTGGGATTCGGAATTTTCTGATGGGGTGATGGGTTCAGAAGGGTGGAACTGGGAGGGTGTGAAAGAACACAGGAATGAAAATGTGTTACACAGTCAGGAGGAAGAGGAGAAAGAGATAACGTAGGATTTTAACTTACAAAGCCAGCCTTTTGCCAGGTAGGCAGAGAAAAGGAGAGGGGCTGAGTGTGCAAACTTGCGCCAACACTCTGACATGCCTTTCATCGCACCACACCTTTGGGTAACGCATCCATTTCTAATCAAAGCTGTCAGAGACCCGAGCCTAGAGAACCTGGCTCACCAGCTCAAATTGGATTAGTTGTTCAGGAGTGAAGGGAGAGGTTAATTGATAAATTATAAATATGTATCTACATCTAGTCTTCCCTGTTTCCTCCCTAATTCTCCAGCCCCTATCTCAATGAGTCTGTGTGCTGTCTCTTCCTTCAAAGACTGGCAAGTAACAGAAGTAGGAAATGTGTTTTATGCCATGAGGATGTTGAAGAAAGAAGGGGCTGACAAGTTGTTGAAAACATGGATTCAGTGACACGTCTGTGAGATGGCTATCGCTTATTTGAGTTTTATGCTTTTCTGGGTCTTTGAAAAGTTATGTATGGTTGCCTTGGAAGCAGTTCAGTCCTTTCCACTTTGGGGTTGGTTGATTGCCTGTTCCTTTTATGCTAATCCCAGGTGGCTTCATTCTCAGAAATCTGTCATGGGGAACCCTTACCCCATTGCTAAGTTGGTATCTTTTGAAAGGAGGTGGGTGGGAAAGCAGGGAGAGGAAGAGGAATAAATGATTAAAGGGCTACATCTGGCTGTATCTCCACCTCTCCACTGACGCTACTTAGTGGAAGGCACTGGTGACCTCATAGGCACAGCCACCAATCTGCCTAGGACTCAACTTTTCTGATGCGTGTGGCACTGTTGCCTCTTCTCTCATTGGCAATACATTAGATTCAGTCTCTGTCTCTGTCTCCTTGTCTTTCCCTAATCCCCTACAACATCCCATAAAATAGATGTTTTGAGTGTTTTTTAGATTTTGCACGTGAGTATCTTATTTTCTTTCTCGGAGTCACTGCTACTACCACTACTAGAAGCTGCTGACACTTTCATGCACCAGCCATTGTGCTATATGCCTAATGGGCTTGTCACACTTAATGCTCATAACTCATCTGTGAGGTAGGTGGTGGCATTATTCTTGTTTTACGGATAAGAACAATAAGACTCAGAGTCAGATAACATAAGCCAATGACTACTAAGTGAGAATCAAACCCAGAATCTGTGCCCCTAACCCCTACTCTATACTGTCTTTCCCGGATACAAGGGTGACCTCCACGTTTAAGCCTTCTAGCTACCTCTCTACACTGACCTGTCATAAGTTCCAGCCTACCACCTTGCATTCTCTGTAGCATATGTCTCTGTAAATGCCCCACTAAGGGAGGCACTTCAGTGGGCTCAAAGTCAACCTTCATGTCATCTGCCCACAAACCAGCTTCCCTTTATGATGTCTCCCTGTTTGTTAACGCATTTCCCACCTGCCTTATCACCGTGGGGTGTGAAACCCAGGAATTACTTTCTATCATTCTCCTTCCTGAACCTTCCTCCTCCTAGGCAATTGGTAGAGAGAGAGCTTGTTGAGACTCTCCTCCAGAATGTCTCTTGCATCTCTGCTGTCAGCTCCCTGGATCAGTTTCCAGTTAGCACTTACTCAATTATTGCCCTCTCCTAATTGGTCTTTCTGCCTCTGTTCTCTTCTAGTCTATCCAGTGGTTGAGAATTGCTTAAACTCTGCGGCCCACAAATGGAGTGCAGGATTAGCTATCTCCCTTTCAAAGCCTTCCCTTATATGGTCGTGTTTACCTTTATCTTGCTCCTCTGTTAAGCTTAACTACAAAATTGCTGCTCCAGCCAAGTGGAATACCAAATAACCTCTCTAGAATTTCCTCATCTCTTACCTTTGCTTATTCTGTTTCTCTACCTTTTAATAGTCCCTCATCCCCTTTTTTCTGCCCATTGAAAAATACATATATTTCATTTCTTATGTGATATTTTCCTTGAATGCTCCATTCAGAGTTGGGCTCTTCCTCCATGTACCTCTCTAACAATTTATATGGAAGTTAATTGGGACTTGGACCACTCCCCTCTACTAGATTGCACGTACGTTGAAGACAAATGTATTCATTTGTTAACATCCAGATGTGTCTAGCATAGTGTGTTCCATGCAGAAAGGACTCAAAATCTCTAATCCTCTTATCTTGCTGTCATTTATCTTCCTAAAAGTGAAAATAAAGCAAAATTAAAATTAAATCGGGTCATGTAGCTCATCTGTTCCAAAGTTTTGGGTAGATTCTTCTTGTATAATTGTCAAGGTGCCTTCCCTGCTTTATTTTCAGTGGGCATACCCCCTCTGCCCACCTATCACCCCTGCCAGCTCCCCCATCTCCAAAAGTCCCAAAGTCACTCTGCTTGCATCCACACTGCATTCTCCTGCCTTTGGACTTTTGCTAAAGCTCTATTCTCTTTCTTAAATGTCCTTGAACATGCTTCTCCCTCTTATCCTTGAAGATCCAAGCCTCCTAAGTCTGCCAGACTTTGTGCTGTGTTATAAGGTACCTATGCCAAACTGCCTTGAGTCACGTTTACTCATGTATTTCAATCCACTCCCCAACACCTGTCCCACAAAGGACCAAGACTTGTGTCTTTGCCCTCTCTGTCACTCATTCTACACAAGCTCAGTACTAGGGCCAGAGTCGTACTTAATGAATGCTTACAAAATTAAGTAATGGTTTAACTGAACTAAACAACTGATTTTAGATATGGGGGGAGGGGAGATAGACAGGATTAGATTTTCAACACTGATGTTAGTAATGAAATCTCTCTACTTACTAACATGTACCCCTTTTCACAACCCTCATGACCCCAAATCACTGAGCAAAGGAGTCCCAATGGGTCATGAAGTAAGACCACGTGTTCTGGCTCCACTTCCCTCCTCACTAAGGCCTTCTCTTGGCCCTGTGTGTGCAAGTGTCAGAGGGAAAATTTTATAGATTACACCAGAATAAACGTGGGAAAGGTCTTGAATTTATTCTTAGACATTTGTCAGAGAAAAGAAGGACTATGCCTCAGATGTTGTCATTCTTTTAAAGCTGAATGATGAAGTAGTAAATCCATAATGGAAAGAATTGTCAAGTTAAATCTACAAAACTGAGCAGGGTGGGTAGGCTATAACAAAAACCACTCTGTTGAGGAGGCCGTTGGGCAGGACATGGCCAGAAACAAGCGTGAACTTACCTAGAAGTGGCTCACACAGAGGACTTCAGCAACCAGCCTTGGTCAGGTATTTCGAAAGCCCCTGTTTAAGTGTTGAGAGTATATTTTGGCCTTCTTCCCCTTCTTCTAGTCCATTTAGGGATTGCCCGTTCTGGATGAGGTTACCAAATACCTTCCCTTGAAACTGAACTCAGGGCAGGGGTCACAGACCCAAAAGCCAGCAGGGACCTGACCAGTCTTAAGAAGTAGACCTGGAGATAAGTAGTGTCCTAGTGTAAGAGAAGCAATAGGTCATGGTGGGAATCATGGCAAACTGGAGAGTGCAAGTCCCATCAAAGGCAGTAGTCTCCACTCTGTTCCAGCTGATCGCTGCCATGCAAGGATGCAGGCACAGTCACCAGATGCTCAAGAAAAGCCAGAAGTGGACGTGATAAAAATGTCATCTGAAGGTATCTTCTCTGTATGTACGTATGAACACACACACACCTGCGTGCCAGATGATTTGGTGCATGAGTCATAAGTTTTTGACCTTTGGCTTGAGAAGACAGGAGGAGAAAAAGATTCCTTCAAGATTTCTTACTGGATGTCAATAGTGGGAGGTAGTTTGATTAATTTTCTCTTTGACCATTGCTGTGATCAGTTACCAAGAATCCTTCCTACCCTTGGCACTACCTTCGGAGAGGCTGGTCTGTGTGTTGGGTAAAGTTGCTTTTGTAGAGTGGTGTGGGAAAGTGTGGGGAGGGTATGGAGAATGCAGAGAATGACCTGGGAGAGAGGTATCTGACATCTTTAATAACGATCAAGAACTGATTTTTAAACCTTTAGGGCGGCCGGGCAGCAGGGGGATTTAGTTTCTTTTTCCTTTTGCTCTACAGAGTTTTGTATTCACTGGATTGCCTGGTGTTGACCCTAAGATCTATTCTAGTCCTTTAAAGTTCAGAAGCCCTTTTTGATTTGTTTATGTGTATTTTTCCCATGTAGATTTGATCACTGGCCTTCTAATGCTGAGCTAATCAACACTGGCCAAACTGGAAAGATATAATCAAGCTACATGAATTTGAACATGATTTCATGTAGATTGCATTTTACTGGTAATAACATTAAGAAAGCTGATTTGAGGAGCTGAGCCCCCTCTTGTCCCTGCTAGGACTTGAGAGCCTTGAAAATAAGTTACTGCCTTGATAGCCAACTGTGTATGCAAATTCCTTTACTAATGCCAGCTACTAATTATGAAAATAAACTCATCTGTGCTCTATAAATATCTAATTATAATAAAATAGGGGCAGTATTACATTTCCATCTCTTGTCTCATCTGTTTCTCATCCACCACTGATTTGTCCTCTTGACAGTGAATATAAAATCGCTTTGTTTTTTCAAGAAGCCTGTTTTCCATGTATTTTTTCTTCTAATGTTTTGAAAGTCTGTGGGGGAAAATAGATTTATTTTAAACATAAAAAGTAAATTGCTTGATTTTAGCAGCTCTGTGTTTTTGGCAGTGATGTCTTTGAGACGGTGCTTGAAAAATATGAAAAGTGTGTTTTTTTCTTGTTTAGAAATTTTGACTGGACACCAAAGACATTTTTTGCATGGATGTTTCTTGGAGCATTCAAAAAAGTGTTAATGTGAACAGAAGATTTATTAATAAAATGTACAATGTATCAGTAGAACATTTTAATTAAATTCCAACTGACAATACATAAAAGAAATTATTTCTCAGATTTTGAAACAACATGTCTGTTTCCTCCTCCTCAATGATCAATTTGGATTTATTGATTACTTATAGATTTTATGTCTGCGTATATATGTCATAAAATACTTTCTCCTCTAAGGTATGAATAATGATCTATCTGTTTGTATAGACCTTTGCTTATCCAGTTGAGTTAGTTAATCTTAGAAGATATATAATTTTCAACTGTAGATCAATATGTATACACACATAAACTTGACTTTGATAGCACCTACAGGCAAAGAATGTTTTGAATTGTGTTGTCTTTAAGATACATCTCATTTGTAAAGAATTCGAAAGAGTAGTCTGATGGAAAGATACTTAATGAGAGAACAAGCAAAGTGCATTTCCCCTTGTGCTTAGGCTTGTACATGCCATGGTCTGTTTCTTAGGTGTGTAGGGCAGTGTATATCTGAGTATAGGTACAATTTGCACAAGTACATATTAATAGGCTTATACTGGTGTATTGTGTTTTTATGTGTAGTTGCCATTTGTAGGTGTACTGAAAATAATAGATTCCAGGGTGACATGTATCAGAATTAAGCAGATCCTCTGCTTCAATATTAGAAAAGCAATGCTTATTTGGCATTCAACAAATATTGATGGAGAGCCAACGATATGCTAGGTGCTAAGTACACAGAAACTGAGCAAACATAGACCCAGCCCTCTGACACCTTGCTCACAGTCAATGGGAGTTTGAAAATAGCTTTCAGATGTAACAACCACCTTTCCTCAAGTAAAAAGCCTTAAATGCATTGTTTTTAATGTATTTTTATATATGCAGTTTTTAAATTAATTTTTTTATTTTAAAGGGAAATTGTTAGGTAATCATTTAGTCAGATCACCCACGCTTTACATTATCAGAATCAGAAAAGAAAATGTGCTTTGTGTGTGAACACATAGGGAATTTTTTATTTGCTTGTCATTTATTTGTTTATTGGGGATGGCATACACAGTGCAAAGTGTATAAAATGCATGCTCTTAAGCATACAGCTTAAAGGTTTTTTTTTTTTAACCTGTATATACCCACATAAATACCATCCAAATCAAGAAATAGAATATGCCCATCACTATAAGGTTCCATTGTGACCCTTTCTGCCATTACTTCTTTTTCTTTATTGGTTGATTTATTTTTTAAAAAATTACCGTTTATTTTTAATAAATACATGTATTTTCCCCACTCAATCCAAAATTGTGTTTATCCATGTAATAATCAGTAGGCAGGCTCTAGATTGCTTAACTTTCATTAAGAAGGATTAACCTTGTGAGACACCCAGGCAGTGTGGTTTTTCACTGTGTGTAAATAGAAGCAAAAATATTGTCCTCTTGTGAGGTAGCTTTGCCCTGTTTTTGATGAAGCGCAGGTTTCCCTCTATACAAAGAGAATACCTAATTGATATTATTGAGTTTTTCTCTTTTTTCCTAAGGCATTTAGTGGTAAGCAGAATAGCAGAGGTGGAAAAGACCATATGCTTTGTAAAAAGCCAGACTAATAACACTTTTTGATGGATGTCTGATTGTAAAAGTGCTGCATCTTTCATTAAAATTTACATGTAAAGCAAGGGCAGAAGCGATGACATGAAACCTAATCCAACTTGCACATCTTGACATAATAACAATCACAAGAAACTGCAGATCCCAGATGGCAGCTTGGCCTTTGCCATCCTTTTAATAAGCTACTAACTGCTAATTATTTCACTCTTTTGGGCAAGTTAATTTACTGTTGACTCTTAAAGAGATACTGCTCTTTTTTTCCCCCAACCCACACAAAACAGAGACCTTCCACCTGGAGCTTTGAAAAGTGCTTCCCTGCAGGTTGGAAGCTTTCCAGTCAGTTGTAACAACGATGGCAAGTATTGGGATGAAAAATGTTGCTTAATAACATTTTCTTGTTTTTTTTTTATGAATATAGAGAATTTAAAAAATTTGTTCGACTAAAGAGCCATTGTGTGCATGTGCATGCATGTGTGTGCGTGTGTAAGAGCAATAGATGGAGCAGCCAATGCAGGGAGAAGATCTGAAATTTGGAGCCTATTTAAGAGTGAAAGAACAGCTGCCTTTTAAATGGTTGCTAATTCTGACAATTAATGCTGTTCTGTGAGTGTGTGATTTTCTGTGATAGCAGTTAGGAGGGATGATGGTGTGTAATAGCTCATTTCCTAAGCTTTATGGTAATGTAGCATAGTCAAGACCATAGAACTGAAAGAGAACTGGGTCCCACATGCTCTGCAGCCCTTTTAAATGAAACCCTGCAAAGCCTGCTTTTCTCTGTACTTTGACCTCCTTAGGATGATTTTATATTTTAGCACAGACACAGATTATTAAACGAATGATGTGCAAGTGGGCTTGGATGCATCAGAAGTGAGTTTGGAAAAGAACCTTGTTTGCAATGAGCTGTCTGACAATCAAAATATTTACTTAAAGATAAGCTAATGACTATGCCTCGCAAATGCCTGCAGATCTATTATTGAAATGAGAGTCAGTACATTGGCTTGATACTATAAAAAATAAATCTCAAACCTCAAATACTATTGTGTGTGTGTGTTTGTGTGTGTGTATTATACTTCTCTCCAAATAAAAGTCTTTCAAGCAATAAAGAAATATAGAAAAGTCTCTCAACCCATTTTCTTGAAATATTTGAAATAAATTTGTTACTGTAATCCATTGTTCCTTGTTGCTGGTAAGAATTGCTAAATGGCAAATATGCATTGAACAACACACTCTTCTATTATTAGTGATATCTCTGAACCTGAACTTGATAATGTGAGTTTTGTGGTCCAGTATTTTACCTATAATGGCTTGTGTGCTATGAAGTTGATGAAAGGACTGTGAAACTCAAATCAAATAGAGGCTAATGCCTCTTGCTTATTAAACCTAGACTTATTAAACCTATTTGCGTATTGACTGGGTAAGTTTTAAATGTTCTGTTTCTTTAAAAACAATGCATTATATGGTTTCAAAATAGGCCCAAGGAAAAATAGAAATCTGGGTGAATTTGAGGAAGTTTTGTCATCTTGTAGAACCTCGTATTATATAGCACGTTCAGCCAGATTGTCATCTTCCAAAAAAATTTTGAGAAACGCTAATAATGTTTTTTTTTTTAACTTTTTCTTTAGGTTTGGGATATATGTGCAGATTTGTTATACAGGTAAATTGTGTGCCATAGGGGTTTGGTATAAATTATTTTGTCACCCAGGTAATAAGCATTGTACCCGATAGGTAGTTTTTCCATCCTCTTTCTCCTCCCACCCTCCATCCTCCACCCTCAAGTAGTCCCTGGTGTCTTGTTCCTGTCTTGGTGTCCATGTGTACTCAATGTTTAGAGATGCTAATAATATTTCAAGAAAAAAAAACTACTGGGAAAAGTAAGTTCTGAAAACATAGTTCTAAACTAAGCAGGTTTATTGACTGTGGGACTTCTCAGAGCCTTTGTTATGGCAATGCAAATTACAAACCTCTGAGAAGGAAAATGTACATTTCAAAGTTACCAAAATTTATTTGACATGAAACGCTTTTTTATGATTTTCATTTTGGATGAAAATAGCTAGAATTAGAACTAGTTAGTGTTCAGTTAAAAACACTTTGGACAGCAATTTTATAGTAGCTACCAAAGCTAATATTATAAGGCTTAATGACTCTAAAATTTGAAGGAACTTTTGGATTGGCTTAACTCAAGTGTCTTTTTAAGTACATTTTCTATTTTGATTGGGAATAGTTTTTTTGGAAGGGTTCGTTTAAATAGGGAAATTACTGCTTCCTGGTAAAATACACACCACAGATGTTAAAACAACTGCAATTTTAAAGATACTAGTCTGGTTAAAACACTTCCAGTTTGTATTACCTGAGTACTTAAACAGATATCCATATAGTGAGCATAAACAATACTTCTGAGAATGGCTGCTTAACTCTAGGAAGAGCTGATCTTGGCATAACATGAGAAAACTGCTAGGAACTTTAGTCTTATTTGCTTTCAAATTTGGAGCAGGTCAACAGTCATCATGGTTATTTCTCTACTGTATATCTAAGGTCATTCATCCTGAGAGTCTGGTTATGAATGGCTTTTTTTTTTTTTTTTTTTTTTCCAGACAGTGAACATGTAGGTGAAGGAATTGCTTTCTGGTAGGAATTACTTGTTTAGAAGTCATTGGCTCAGCTAAGGATTTTGTGGGTTGTCGCAGTGCACAGCTGAGGACTTTGTCCTATTTATGTGCTGTCTGTTCAGTATGAAGTGGCAGCCATTGATCCATCTGTAGTACACCATTTGCCTGGGGCTATTTATCTGGTTGTGGAGATGTAGTTTGCTGAGCCAGGCATACGCTCCCTTGTTTCCCCAAGTGACCAGTAATGAGTCTTTACAAATGCCTTGGCCCAAATTGTTACGAGTGAGGTTCTGCAGTTCTAAACTAATTGATCCATGTGACAACTGAACCTGGAATACTAGATCTCCAGGTGTGAATAATTCTAACCTAGGGTCAGCATTATGGAACAAATAGAACAGTGAGATAAATGTGAGGACCTAATTCAGAATGCTGGGGAATAAAACATGGTGGGTTAGAGTACTGATGTTAGTGTTTGACACTCACAAGCTATACAACCTTGTTAAGCTTCCTTATCCTAATAAGCAAAACGGGAGCAAGAATACTAGACACTTCACAAGGCTGCTGAGAGGATCTATTGAGACAATAATATTAAAGGCTTATGGTAGAGCTTAGCTAACATACATAAGCATTAGTTTAGTTATCATAAACATTAACAACAAACATCAGTTATCATAAATACATTTTGTCAATATCAGCATCACTCATTAAATATGGGAACTTTGAACATATTATTCAATCTTTTTGACTATCTGTGTTTTTACCTGTAAAATGCCTACTTGGTACATTTGTTCTGGCTAAGAATTGATACAATGCAGGTGAAAGTGCTGTGCAAATTAAAATAGTGCTACACAGTGTTAAATAATAAGTAGTTCATGAGACTATGAGCACCATAAAATCAGAGGCAGTATCTGATTTTGTTCGTCTTGGTATATCCAGTGCCTGTAACATTGCCTGCCCCATCATAGAAACAACTTAGTAAATACTTGTTGATGAGTTAAGTAACTTCTTAGCAGAGTTCTGCAACAGGGCCAGCCCCAAGTCTTCCTGTGATCCCATTATGCTTTCAATAGAGAGGGTCTTTGGGTACCTCCATTGCAAGAGGGAATCATTAGTCTCTTCCTTTAGAACAAGTTCATCCAACCCCAGGTCTGCAGGCTGCACACAGCCCAGGATGGCTTTGAATGCAATCCAACACAAATTCTTAAACTTTCTTAAAACATTATGAGATTTTTGTGTGTGTGAATTTTTTTTCTAAGCACAGCAGAAATCATTAGCCTTAGTGTATTTCATGTGTGGCCTAAGTCAATTCTTCCTCTTCCAATGTGGCCAAGGGAAGCCAAAAGATTGGACAGTCCTGCTTTAGAGCCTGCCATACTAAAAATAGTAATCCTCATAAAACCTGTTCTTTCTTAGGTTTTTGATAGATGTGTCTGCTTTTTTTTTTGTGCACACAAAGAGCTATAGGATTTCCTTGTATTACTTGATGGAACTATAGGAGCCATGAAGAAAACAAAAACATTTGGTTGGGTTACTTTTAAAAAATGCTGATTTGCTTCCTCAAATCTTAGAAGCATATAATTTCAGAGCTCAAAGGAGACTTAGAATTCCTTTAGTCGATTCCACTGTGATTTTGTGGATGACAGAACATGCTGAGAGGGCATGAGTGATGTGTTTGTCACTGCACAGAAAATTTGTAGCACAATCGGGACTTAGAACAGACTTTCTGACTTCAGATGTTGTTTTCTTTCTCCTCCCACCAAGTTGCCTCTAAGTCCTGGTCATCTTCACTGTTGATGGTATTTGTTATAGATCATTCATAGGCTGCTGAGATCATTGTTGATAATGCCATATAAGGAAGATTCTGGAAGTTTCAGTGTGCAAACTTTCTAAAAAAGGTTATCTCTTAAATTACTAGTCTGCCTGGGAACTGATACAACTCCAGCTTTCAAAGTTGTCAGTAAGCTGCTTTGAATTTCAGTATTTTATGATGCTTTGTACCACTTACACAGACTTGCTTTGTTGATGGCTTTGTCTTGGCTGAAGTAAGACGGTGACACCAGTTGACTTTTAAAAAGCTTTTATACCCATAACTTTTTCTTTCTTGCTGTCCCATGTTGACTATTTATAACAGCGTGGATGCATGTTGAGTGCAATAAAGATGAGCTGTGATGATATTCACCAGGGACTGATTTACAAACTGTTGCTTAATAGTTGTTTGCACTTCCTTTCTTCCTTTAAAATTAGTTGTCATTTTATTTGTAATTTTTTCAACTAAAAAGAAACATTTTTTTTTTCAAGTGAGAGTGTATTTATCTTTAAGCCAGTATCATTTCTGGGTTTTCTTTTTAAAAAACAATTTTTTCGGGGTTCTACCATGTGTCTGATGGGTTAAGTTTAGTGCCCGTCCGTGAGGCAGCCTTGGGGGATGTTGATGGGTGCAGGAAATCGGTTCTTAAATTGTTGCAAAATTGCCTTCCTTCAGACTGTTTTGATCACGAGGGCTCTCAAGTGTCAAAGTCATTTGTAGAACTAGATAGATAAAATGCATGAGCACTAAGCTTTTTTTCCAGGATAGAATAAATAAGTGTGTTTTCTACTATGTGCTCCGCCTTTGATAGTGATTTGTTAAAAGGAAAAAAGAAAGGCAATGATATTAAATATTTACAAGAGTGATTTAGTTCTATTATCCTGTGCGCTGCATCTCTGTTTTTTATAGTGAAATCAGCTACTGTAGAAATAAATGCCATTAAACCAGTGGTAGTGTGAAGGTCACCGCCTAGGCAAGGTTAGAGTAATTTGTGGAGAGTAATGACTTTTGTCAACTTTCCAGATCTCTTCCTGTTTTTAGCCGGCTTCCCTCCAAAAATTATAGGAAAAAAATACATTTGAGGATTCACAGGCTTACTGTCTCTCTTGCATGCCTTATGCCCTTTCTGGCCAACCTGATAGTTGGAAGACTTTCGTGCACTTTTTTGTTTGTTTCGTCTGTTTAGTGGACAGAGACAGGTCTGTTCTCCCTGGAGATGAGCAGCTGCATTCCCATTTACTGGCTTTTCTGTTGGTTCTTGCTTGACAGTTTGTTTTGGAGATCCAGCACTACTTCTTTCTTAGAAATGGTTTATCTTGTCTGAAATAATCCTCCAGTTTCCCTACTTTTACCTCTGCCTTTCTTTAAATAAAGGTTTTTTTTTTTAACAAAACTTTCTCGTATCAGTTTAAATACATTTCTGAATGATTACATGGCATTATCCCCATTTTCACAGGCAAGAAAACAGAGGCCCAAGGTTACAAAGCTAGTTACAGAGCTAGCAGCAGAACCAAGATAAACTGAGCTTTGTCTGACCCCAAAGCCTGAGGTGACACTACTATATACGATACCATCATTTCAATTAATTTCACTGAACCTCAGTTTTCTCTTCTGTAAAATGGGGATGCTAATATATTATTCTAATATATTCTGAATTCATATAAATAGTATTACATATGATGTATTATAAATAATAAGACATTATTTTACTTTTGGTAAAATTGAGAAGTATATAAGCTAACACATATTAAATGCCTAAAAAGATGTCTAGCTCTCGTTATGGTTTTAATATATTCCCTTTCCTCTCGACAGTAACAATAAAGTGTAATTGAATTTAACAAGTATTGAGCACAAGGGATACACAAAATGGGTAAAAATCAGTCTTTGTTCTTGAGCAGCTCACAATAGAGTAGGAAGAAAACCCCTATATAATGAATTCCAAAAGCGATTCACTTTTTTTTCTTTTGTCTTGGGCTTTGTCTGTACCAAATGCCACTTAAAATATGAAAGCCCTTTTCTGGGTGCAAGTAGTTTGTTTCCTATAATGTTGAGATAGCATGTTGACATTGCAGTGGTAGCGACTTGTGGTTTGTTTCTCTGTTAGTCTGTGTTTACTTCATCCTAAAATCCAGAAGAGTGGGTTGAAAATGGGGGAAAAACAGGGATACAGGGAAGTAGCAATGTATATTACTCAGGGCAGGCTAACTGCTATGACAATTCCCAAATCACAGTGGCTTAATGCTAACAAAATTTTCTCACATTCCAGTTTGCGGTGCAGATTGGTGGGTGGTGAAGTGGGGGATCTCTACTCCACACAGTCATTCAGGCACCAAGACACCTTCCGTCCTGTAGCTTTGTCATTTTCTGGAGCCTTGTCCTTCTTTGCAGTCTACTGGCAGAGGAGGAGAGAGCGAGCTTGGAGGATTTTTCCTAAAGGGCCATGCCTGGACATAGTGTGCATCATCTATGATTGGCCAGAACTCAGTCACGTAATCCCATCCAATTGCAAAGGAGATTGGGAAATGCAATTTATCTCTGTGCTCAGGAGAACAGGATAAGGGGCCTGGTGGCTACAGTGACAGTCTCTGCCCCAGTGGATGAGTTGTGTTCTGTGCTTCTGTGTTCTGATCTTGTGTCATGCGTATTAGCTTTCTTCAGCCCACCTTCATTCAAACAAAGGTGAGTATGGTTTCTATGAGATAGAGAATCACTTCTCATTCATTTTTCTATTACACACATGTATGTGTATTTTGTGTATTTTTCTTTTCCGTTCTTTCTTTCTTTCTCTTTCTTTCTTTCTTTCTTTCTTTCTTTCTTTCTTTCTTTCTTTCTTTCTTCCTTCCTTCCTTCCTTCCTTCCTTCCTTCCTTCCTTCCTTCCTTTCTCTTTCTTTCTTTCTTTCTTTTCTTTTTATTTTTTTTTGAGACAGGGTCTTGCTCTGTCACCCAGGCTGGAGTGCAGTGGCATGATCTCAGCTCACTGCAACCTTTGCCTCTTGGGTTCAAGCAATTCTTCTGCCTCAGCCTCCTGAGTACCTGGGATTACAGGCGCTTACCAGCTAATTTTTGTATTTTTAGTAGAGACCCTGTTGGCCAGGCTGGTTTTGAACTCTTGACCTAAGTTGATCCGCCCACCTCAGCCTCCCAAAGTGCTGGGATTACAGGCATGAGTCACTGCACCCAGCTTGTATGTGTATTTTGTATTAAACAAAACCCTTCAGAGTTACTTACATTAGTGTTTCTCAAATTCGTGAGAATCACCCAGGGAACTTGTGAAACTATAGACTTTAGTTCCTGCCTCAGAACTGTAGGACCTGCAGCTCTAAATTATTCTATGATCAGGTAAATTTGAGACACGCTGTGTTACAGCAAATTCCAAGGAATAAAATGAACCGAAAGGAAGTGTATGAGACTTTAATAGAAGTATTTTGTTGTATTTTAAATATTTAAAACAAGCTGCGTTTATGTATACCAAATCTATTTGTTATACGTAGATTTTTGTTGTAGTTCTTGTTTTAAGGGATGTGACCTCTATCTTGCATCCATAACCCAAAAGTGATTGGGATCTTAGCTTGAGTTGATGGAGTGGGGCCAAATGCCTGATTCAATAGGATTTTGTTTTATTGTGATCACTGGGTAAAAATATCTCAGCATTTTTTTTCCTCTTTATCGTCTAAAAAGGGACACTTTTGATTAAGATAATTTTCTTGTTGCATTAAGACAATAATAGGAGTACATGTTTGATAGGCCTGCTTATTTTTTGTGACTGACTTGTGAACAGTTAACTGATGGCAACTCATTTTAGTTTGTAGATATATCTTAATCTCTTGTACGCATAGTAACCATTACCTCCATGATGTTCTGAAATGAAGCCCCTTCCTGTAAAGCTGTGCTTTTTTCTCTTGTAGCTAGAGGTTGGCCCATTGTACTATTGGAATGGATGTCAGAGTGTGGATAATTCTGGGCTTGTGATTTTTTTCTTTCTCCTATTTTATCTGCCTCTTTTTGTGTCTTTGTGAGCAAGTCTGTGATTACTATTGAGTTTTTTTCCCTAAATGCCAGCAATTATCTCACAGGTGGAGGGATTAGGAAAGAGCTGAGAGAAATGCACTGGGTTTAGAATAAAGGCTCCCCACCCCCACTTTAAATATGGTGACAGGAGGGAGTGTAGAGTTGGGGGCGGGGGTGGCAGACAGCTGTGGGGGTAGGGTGGACAATTTGCTTCTGATATTTAAATCCCTAGAAGGAGTAAAGGAAGAAATTCCTAAGGAAAGAAAGAGGAATTAAAGACCTATATAATAAGATATTTTGGGGTTATTGTTTCAGGGAGCTGGAGATGCAGGAAGGGAGGGGCAGCCACTTTTCTTAACTTGCTTTACCTGCCTCTTTATCTGAAAGGTGTTTGTTTGTTTGTTTTTTTCCTTTGGTCTGACAATTTATTTTTGGAGGAGAAGGGAGCTGGGAGGGCCTAATATATATGCCCAGGCCAAGAGAATTTTGGTGAGACATTCCCTTTCTTCCCAGCAGAGAATGATTTATTTATTTGATATGTCAGTTAGGATGCTTTCAGCTGCAAAGAACAGAACTTTCAACTCAACTGCCTTAAACAACAAAGGGCATTTATGGGCTCAGTTTCTAAAAAGTCCAGTAACTCACATGATATGACCAAGACCTAGTGTTTGTCTTCCCCATTTTTTGGCTTGACTTTCTTGGTGTTGGCTTCATTTTTGGCAGCTCCTGCCCATGTGATTTTAAGATGGCTGATGGCCATTCCCAGGATGATTTGGTTTTTGGTCTTTGTAAGTGAGAGAGAGTAACACTCTTCCTTGACTGTATTAGTCAGGGTTCTCCAGGGAAACAAAACCAAGAGGAGATATATATGCACATGATGATTGTTATGAGGAACTGGCTCACGTGATTAGGGAAGCTGAGAAGTCTTATGATCTGCCGTCTGCAAACTGGAGAGGAAGCCAGTGGTATAGTTTCAGTGTGAGCCCTAAAGCCTGAGAACCGATGGTGTCAATCCCAGTCTGAGGGCAGGAGAAGACTGATGTCCCAGTGTAAGCAACAAGGCAGAGAAAGCATATTCCCCTTTCCATAGCTTTTTTGTTATAGTCAGGTCCTCAGTGGATTAGATCAGGAGTCTCCAACCCCCAGGCTGTGGACCAGTGGTGGTTCATGACCTGTTGGGAACCAGGCCGCACAGCAAGAGGTGAGTGGCAGGCGAGTGAGCATTATCGCCTAAGTTCCGCCTCCTGTCAGATCAGTGGCAACATTAGATTCTCATAGGAGTGCAAACCTTATTGGGAACAGTGTATGCGAGGGATCCAGGTTGTGTGTTCCTTATAAGAATCTGACTAATGCCTGATGATCTGAGGTGGAACAGTTTCATCCTAAAACTATCATCTCCTCCCCTCTTCTGCTTTCCCCCTGCCACTCCATCTGTGGAAAAAGTATCTTCCATGAAATTGGTCCCTAGTGCCAAAGAGGTTGAGGACTTCTGGATTAGATGATGCTTGCCCACATTGGGGAGGGCAATTTGCTTCACTCAGTTCACTGATTCTAATGCGAATCCCATTTAGAAATACCTTCCCAGACACACTCAGAACAATGTTTAATCAGAGTACTGGGACTCAGTTAAGTTGACACGTAAAATTACACTTCACAAGTCTACCCCTTTTCAACTCGACACTCATCTATATCTCCTTAAATGATACTTAATCTATAAATAAAGATAAAAAGATCATAATTTCACCTAACGTGATACACCTATCCTGAGTATAATTGAAAATGCACTAAAGAGTTGGTTTTCCTCCTACAGTATATTGGATTTAGGGGGAGGCTGGATATTTGACTCCAAATTTTGGGAATAGGGAAATGGATATTGAGTTGCAAATGCCAGCTCTACCTTGATAGAATAACTTTCAAAATATGAAACCAAACCCAACTAGGTTCTTAATAAGGACTTGGGAAATTTGGGGGTGTATATTTTTCATCCTTACTATCTGGCTGTGAAATCATCCTATTTCCATGAGAAGGGGATGTCAAAGAGGGAGCTTGTGTGCCAGCATAGGTAACATTTGGAAGCAGAGAGGTGAAAGGGGAAGGCCATTGGTATCCTAGCATCTGTGGAATCAGGGACTCAGCATCTTAGGATCTTAGTTCATTGACATGAAAAGAGGCAGGGAAATGTCTGTGGGAATGGAGTGAATGCCAGGCCCAACTTTCTTAAGTGGAAACTGCTCTGATGGCATCCTTTCCTTCTGCCTTGATCTCAGGCCTCCACTTAGGTCACCTGACATGGATTGCTATTGATGGATAGCTGACTGAGGCAGCCCTCTAGTCTCAAGTGTGTTTTTAACAGAGTGGCTCTCAGTAAATACCTGTTTCTCAAATGCCTCACCTCATTCACAGAGTCTTTCTTTTTAGCTGCTGCTCAATCAGCTGCTATTTCTTAGCACACTGACCTAATTTCCAACCACACATTTCATCTAGGATTTTGAGGCAGCAACATCCCCCCCGATTCCCCCAATGTCACTGCGGGTGTTAGCTCTACCTTGACTTGTGGCCACAGTTCTTATTACCTGCCTTAGCCGTCAGTATAACAAGGGGCAGCCAGTGTGGCAGGTAGAACAGAATGAGTTCCCTAGGGTGCAACAACTGGAAGGATGTGGTTATCAGGTTCTTCAAACCAAATACCATGAGAGCAAAGGCCCTTCTTGAAAGGGCTGCTGCCTCTTAGCACCAAGGTTGCATTTGACCTTCTCAAACTGCTTTCTAGGCCAGTGTGTCTCACAATCTAATGTGCACCCGAATCATCTGGACATCTTGTTATACGCAGGTTCTGCGTGGGGAGGGTTGAGGTGGAGCCTAAGATTCTGCATTTTTAACAAACTCCCAAGGGATGTCCATGATGTTGCTGGTATGTGGACCATTCTTTGGAGGGACAAGTCTTTGAGGCCATCACTTTGAATGATCTTGCAAGTGAGGGCATCTGCTTCTTTCTCTCTAATAAGTCAGAATGCAAAGATCCAAAGGAGGAGAACAGCACTCCTTGGAAGTAGATGGGAGAGCTGGGACTCAGATTCTTAGGAATTAGTTGTTATCTTCAGGCAACCACGCAAGTGCCTGCTGAAACTCAAGCCTTCTCATCCCCCTTGGATAATAGAAGTGGGGCGTCAGTCTGCCTCTGTCTCCGTGTCTGTATGGGAAACATGGAGGTCATGGCATATATGACAAGTGCACATGTGCTGTTCCATTCCCACAAGGAGAGAAACATGGGGAGTAGCCTATAATTCTGTGTCTACCAGACTCCTCTTCATGCTCCTAAAAAGGCCTGTTTCTGTAACAAATCATCACCATGAGGACACATTTCTGGGGGCCTACATGATTCACAGACTGCCCATTGTAAGTTGCTTGTAATTATCAATAGGAAACTCATGTGACCCGTGAGCCCCAAGTCCCACCCCCTTGCCCAAATTTATCAGGGCTTGCCTTACACACTGGTGGTTGCTATGGGCTTGGGTGACTCCCAACAGCGATGACAATATACATTCTCAGTAACCTGGAGCTGGCACTGAGGCTGCAGCCCTGGACATGGGGTGTCCTCTGGGTATAATCTCACTTAACTTTACTCTGCAAATGCAATGTTGGTCTTGCCATCCCTGTGTTGTGTTCAGTCTTGTTTGATCTCACTCTCCCTGTTACCCATCTGTATAATCCCCTGGGAAGAATGAGATCTAAACAAAAACAAAGGAGAAAATGCTTAAGAAATATAATCTGACTGTCTAACAAAGCAGATAGTTAAGTCTCTGGTGGACTCCTTTGTTTTATTTGGACTAGAGGGAGGAAGAAAAAAGCTTGGGACTGCTGCTGGAGGAACAGAAGTGCATTAGGAGGCTCATATTTCACAACTGGTTGCCAGTGTCTATATTGGCTGATGGCTCTGGTTTCCAGCTGGCGGTGGCCTTGGTTGAAACATTTACCTGGTGTCTTCAGGGATGCTGTATCAACAGCTGTAAGTAGAGCTAGTTATTCAGTCTGCTCTGAGAAAGGTTAAAGTGTGTGTCTTTGGCTTCCCCAGGGACTAATCCAGTAACAGGAGAGTCAGAGAGAACACGTACCACTTGGGAGGGGGTTTCTTCACCGGGATTTTCGTTGTTATTTTAGTTACAAATGGAAGCATTTAAAACCTAAATCTGTATTTAGGCAGTGAGAGGAGAAACAGGGACGGAAATGAATTATTTATTTCATCACTGGGGTCCTGGAAGCGTGGAGTGGGCGTTAATCTCCTTTGAACAGGAGCCTCTGGGTCGGGCTTGAGGTCGTCTGTGTGAGATCTGACCTTATCTGCTCCTGGCCAGACATCTCGGCTTTGAGGAAATTGACTTGAGAATACTCCAAATAAACCCTTTACCTTGTTGTTCAGAAGGATGTGAATATTTACCTAGCATATAGTCAGAGGAATCGAAAGTGCTTGTGTCTGTGATTTCTTTTAATCCCATTATTTCCCAGTAGATCTGACGGGAGACCTAGAAGCAAGGGAGGAGTGCCTCACGCTGGTGGTCAACTGGGAGTTGGGGGTACCGTGTGGCTTTCCTGTGTGTTGTGCTCAAGGAATGTGTATCTGCACATTTATCCAGTGAGAGAGCTGCTTTTGTTCCCATTTCACTGATGAGGAAATCGAGGTTTAAAGAGATTCAGCATCTCACCTAAGATCACCCAGCCCTGGCTGGGTGCGGTGGCTCATGCCTGTAATCCCAGAACTTTGGGAGGCCGAGGTGGGTGGATCACAAGGTCAGGAGATCAAGACCATCCTGCCCAACATGGTGAAACCCCGTCTCTACTAAAAATGCAAAAATTACCTGGGTGAGGTGGCGCATGCCTGTAATCCCAGCTACTCAGGAGGCTGAGGCACGAGAATCACTTGAACCCAGCAGGTGGAGGTTGCAGTGAGCCGAGATCGCACCACTGCACTCCAGTCTGGTGACTGAGCGAGACTTCATTTCAAAAAAAAAAGAAAAAAGAAAAAGAAAAAAGATCACCCAGCCCTAAATTATCCCTGCTGGGATTGCTGGGATTCAAGTCCAGGGTGCTCTTCATAACCCCATCTTGAGCTCTTTCCAGTGTCTCGTGCATGCTGCTACTTTCCATCTGCCCCAAGGCAGCATATCTAATAAAAACATTGAAAAACTTTCCCAAGGCCAGGAAGGGAGAAGTAAATGGGTCAGGGGTTACAATCACTGGTAAAGACAGAACAAAACCCATCTTCATAAAGAACAGTGATTTGCCCTTTTACCCTCTCCTGTCCTATTTCTGTTTTTTTCTGGATTCATAAATATTTGTATGTGAATACTCTTGTATGTGTATACCCTCTCTTTCCTTTCGTCTTCTCTGCTCTTTAGAGGGCACAATGAGTAGTTGTCATTGTTTTTTAAAGGTTCCTGCAAGGCTCTCTGTTGGATTTAGTTTATTCTTGCTAAAACATTTCTGAGACAGCTGTTGAAAGCAACTGGTGCTTTGTACATTTCTGTCTTCAGTCATCAAGGTGGGGTTCTTGGTTCCATGGTAGAGAGAAGGAAGGGTTGGGTGTACTTCTTCCTTTCACAGTTTTGAAGTTTCAAGGTCCCTAAACCGAGTCAAAAGAGGTATGTGTTTGAAAATGCTTTATGCCTCCAAGGTCTCATAGGCTTCAAAACATTGCTGGTTTCCCCTTCCAGATCCATTGCTTGAGTGTCTGTTGTGTGCTGGGCGTCGGAGATTCAGAGACCATGTTCCTTGATAACCAGCAATTACCTTCTGAATGTTACCTGAGTGCAGATGAGGAAGGTCTCTGAAAGCATACAGGGCGGGGGCTTCCAATACACACTCCCTACTTTGGACTGTTCACCACTTTGAATAAAACTAGGATCACACTCCCATTCCTTCCAAAATTCTTACTCCTTTCTACCGCACTACCCTCAATCTGCATACCAGCCCTTTTTTTTTAATCAGCTCTTAAATTTTACTCTAATCCAAGCCAAAAAATTTTATTGAGCCTTCATGGGTTATTAGGGGCAGGGGGATTGCATAAATGAAATAAGCCAAACCCTCAGCTTCTGAATCTTTACAATCCTTTGGGGAAGATGCCTGTCAAATATGTAATTGGGAAAGCCACAGATGTTAGGAAAAGGGGCAAAGTGTACTAGGGAAGTTGAGTAAGGAGGTTGCACTCCCTGGCTATTCGGAAAGGGGTGATCATTCCTCCTGGACTCTAGTTTGAACATCCTTTGCCTTGCTCTTGCTACTCCATGAAAATGCGCTCTGGAGTCCAAGACCTCCAATAGTAGTATTGTGTAATGTTGTAGCCTTATTTAATGTCTCTTTGTTTTCTGATTGTCTCTGTCATGTTGCTTGCCGTGATATACCACCTTCTGTGGGGCTGCAGACAAATAAATCCTCCCTCAACTCTGTGCTCCATGTGTCACTCTCCCAATGAAAAGACTTTTGATGGCTGCCCCCATTCCCTAGAAGATAAAGTTCAAGCTCCTTAGCCTGGCATTCGGTACTTCACAGTTTGGCTAACCTCAGCTCCCATCCCACTTGCTGAAACCTTGGCTAGAACCCCACCCTGCTAATCCATGATGCTTCACTATCCCAGGTGCCGTCTTATCTCTGCTCGTGCTTGCCCATTTATCAGGGACATTTCTCCCATTTGTAGCCATATCTTGAAGTTTAATTTGAGCCTCACACACTCTGTGACACTTTGCCTGGCCACCTCAACTCCTTAGAATGTCGTGCTGCTTTCTAGCTGCACCATGCATTAGCTATCTTCCCCGCACTATGCCTTTCTGCAATGTGTGTCACCTTCGTGTCTCCCCAACCAGTCTGAAATGAGGCTGGGCACCTTATTTCTTACTCCTTATGGCCACCATAATGCCTCTACAAATAAAGGCTTGATGTTATAGGAGAGGAGATTGACTGTATCTGATTAACTAGTATTTCACAGGGTTTAACACAATGCTTGGGTGGGGGATAAATAGGAAAAGAACTTGAAGATTTAAAGTGAATTTAAAATTGTATATATCTTCCCAAATATCAACCTACGAACATGATAAAAGTATTACTTTCATTTTTGTGGGGGATGAGGTACCGTGGTATGGGCTACAGAAATTGAGATTGGGGCAGAGGAGGAACAGTAACACAGAAGGAGGTGAGTTGGGAAAGAATGAAGAGAGACCTAAAATCAAAGTGCCCTGTGTGTGGATTGAGAAGCCCTGGATTTAAGTCCTAACTCTGCATTTCTGACTGCATAGCTTGGGTAAGACGCAGCACACCTGGAGCCTCATCTGTTGAAGGGGGATTTAACCCCTGCCGTGCCTGCCCCAGGTTTGTTGGGAAATTAAATGTGTGCAGTTTGTAAACTGTAAAGTGTACTGTGAATGGAAGGGAGTGGTGTTACTATAAACAGCATCATCATTTATCAGCTAAATCCTCCCTGAGCCATACTGTGGCAGGGGAATAGATCGATGGATAGGTCTGCTGTGACAGGCAGGAAAAGACCAGACTGGAGGGAGCCTGTGGTCAGATCCTGTAGGCCCTCCCATCTGTACGAATATTCTCATGCCAAGGAAGTGCTTCCCTAGGCCTTGTGAATAAAGATAAGGTGCATAGGTCCTAACCTTACCTGTGACAGGTACAAGTGGGAGCCCAGTCCCAGGATCCTGATGGTCAGATATCAGGTTTTGGGGTATAAATATGAACACAGGAACTAGCAGGAGAGGTGGGTTGTGGTTCTAGATCTGTACTTACCAGCCATGAGCAGTTTCTCCAAATGTAGTATTATTAATACAATGAGTGCCAAGGATGGAGTGCTTCATGGCCATTATCTCACTTCATCCTTGCAACAACACTATGAGCTGGGTGTATAGCAATATGTGTTATTATCCTCCTACTACAGACAGGAGAACAGGGTCAGGGATTGAGACTAGCCCAAGGTAACTAGCTAATGAGAAACCCGAGCTGGGATTGGAACCCAGGCCTGAGCTCTTAACCACTATGCTCTGCAGCCTTCAACCTCTTGGAGCCTGTCTTTTCATCTGTATTATGGGGATAAACCCGCTTACCACATGGGGTATGAGGATCTGATGAGAGAATGGACATGGAAGGACTGTGCACACTGCAAAGTGTCTATGGTACATTCACTGAGCACCTACTGCATACCTGGCATTGCTGTGGGTACTAGGACATAGTGGAGCATAGGACAGCTGAGACACCTGCTCACAATGAGATGTGTTCTACCCATGATCTGTTAACAGAGGAAGCTGTCAGAAAGTGGGAAGAAAAAAATGCAGTGATCTGAGAGTGTTTTTGTTTTCAAAAAGGAAGAAGTCCTGTTAATTGCCAGTCATTGCCCTTTAAGTCTACCTTCATTCATTCTGAAGTATAAATAACAAAACCAAATTAAGAGATTACGCAATGTGGGAAATTTACAGAGACAGTTAAACAGAGAAAAGCAAAGAGAGTGCATTAATAAAAGGACAAATCATGTCAGGACATTCTGATCACTACAGAAAAGCAAATCACAGTTCTAGAAGGTGAGAAGTATGCAGTGGATGTAATATATCTGGATTTTAGTAAAATCACTTGATGGAGAAATGGCCTGAAATCTTGCCTGAGAAATTAATTCAAGCTGGCCAGGGGGGAAGCCATGTCACTCAGAATGAGAACTGGCTGGGAGATGGGAGTGAAGGTTGTGATGACAAATGGCCTTAGCTTTCGGGGTGTGATAGGGTCAGGTGAGAAGACCCAATTTGGCCATCATCACTTAATGATCTGGAAGAACAACTAAACTCCTGGTACTGACATTCATACGTGATGCTAAATTGGGAGGTGTCATGGCGATGGCTTGTGGAAGGAAGCATAGTATAAGAGGTCAGCAGTCAAGGACAGGAGGCCGAGGCAGGTAGGAACAATGCGGGAGAGTACAGGCAAGGACAAATGGAGGGAATTTCCTTGAGGACAATCTGCAAACATTAAAAAATTTGCAAATATATAAAAATTAGCATCAGGACAGGAATGAGACAAAGGTCCAAGGCCGTCCAAGGATTTATCCTTCCATAATTTGAACTGAACGTGAGGAATGGACAGGGGTTATGTTTCGGGGTGTGGGAAGGCACCTGAGCCATGGTGGTCCTTATAGCCACAGTGTTGCATAGGACTATCCCTTCCTCTCTCTTCAGTGTGATAGGGTCAGAGGCAGAAGTACTCTGCCTTTCACAGTGTCACAGATTGCTTGAATGAATGTACACTGTGCACATTTGCATTCTGCCTCTACTACTGAATCTGTAAAATGGGAGAATAATAGTCCTTACTTTGGGAATTTTATGAGGAATAGACAAATGTGATACCCTAACACCATGCCTCATATATGGTAAGTGCTTGATAGATGTTATCTATTATTATCGTTATTTTTATCATTATCATCATTGCCCTGTGTGCCCAGTCTGTACCTGATGGAATGGCCTTTCTCATTCAAGTAGGGGAAGAAACATCCAGAGAACAGTTTGAAAAAAAGCATAGGGTGTAAAAAAAAAGCCTAGGGTCAGGGGATCTAGATTCTTTCCCAAGCTCTGCTATAGCTGACCTTGAATGAGTTGTTTCATCTCTCTGCCCCTGTTTCCATTTGTACAAACATCTGGGGCTTGACCTGGTGATCTCTGAGGTCCCTTCTAGCTGGAAAAGTTTGCAAATCTATACAAATATGCAAAGTGAGTTGAGCTTTGTATTATTCAAGTTGTCATTTTTGAGGGATATCTTCTAACACATCTCACTCTATAGACTTATTCTTTACCCAGCAATTGCCATCCTGGAGAGGGTGACAAACTTGTATACTTTTAGCACTGAAAGCCCCGTCTTCCAGAAACCCCCTTAGTCCTGGGCAAACCAGGATGATTGGTTAGCCTGCCCATAGGATAACTGCTAGCCTGTTGGAATGTTGCATGGAAGTCTAAATACACATCTGCAAGAATGCAGGAGTTTTACTGAGCTCAGGGGAGCCATCCCTAGAAAGCCACCCAACATTTTTTATGGGGAGTAGAGTGATCAAAGTTGGGGAAGTGTGTGCATTGGAGGTGCCAGAGACACGAGTACCTATAGAATGATATCTGTGGCCATACCTCATCTCTACACTGACCCAGTCCCACTCAGGGTTCTTTTGGCTGCTTGCAGCCTTAACATGTGCTGAGAGGAGAGTCATGAGTCTGAGAAGGGCACCATTTCACAGGATAAGTAAATGTGAAGTTACTCTGTGAAAAGAATGAGCTGAAACAAGGAGTTGGTTATGTTTTCCACAGCTCCATCTGGAATAACATGTTCCGTTTTGGATTCCTCAGGGACCAGAAAGGTGACAGGTTGAAGGGACTGTGAGGGAGTCACGCATGTGATTGACAATGTAGAGGAAGTAATTGAAGGGAAAAAAAGAAAAGAACAAAAGGTATACATCGTGGTGGGGTGCACATGTTTGTGCAGGGAAAGAGAAGTTAACTAGGACATCCAGGAGCAGAAGTAAGATGAAGCGTGGTGTTCACAGAGCAATGGAGGTTGAGGCAAAATTCGCTCTGAAGTTACACATTTAATTCTGCAAATATTTATTTAGCAGCTACTTACTCTGTGCTATGATCTGTTCTAGGTGTGGGGAACACATAAAGATGATTACTGCCCTTTCTTTGTTCTAGTGGAGGAGACATGCAGTGTGTGTAATTGTGAACAGAATGGATCTGAATTCGAATCCAGTTAGTCTGCTTACTCACACAACTCACTGTGTTGCCTTGAGTGAGTTACAAAAAAAAAAAAAAAAATCTCTCTGTTCCTGAGTTTCCTCATCTGTAGAATGGACATAATCATAGTACTGCCTGTTATGGTTGTGAGGATTAAACTAGTTTATGTATTTTAAGTACTTACAAGAATACTTGGCACATGATCCATGTTACTAATATTATTATTAAGTGAACTAATGCATTCAAAGTGCTCAGTGCAAGACTCAATAAATGTTAGATATTATTAGTTATTGTTAATGGTATATCGAAATGAGGCATAATAGAACCATGTTTGAAGTGCAAAGGCAACAAAGACAAGGCAAAATCACTTGGGGTCGGGGAAAGAATTAATATCACAGAAACCTACTGTCAACCTAAAGGTGATATTTGAATGGGGATAGGAAGGATCAGTAGAGCTTTGCCTGCTGGGAAGAAAGGGAATCCTAGGTGAAGCAAACAACATGAACACTGGCTCATCTCCTGAGGTTGTAGCTGGCAATTTGATCTTTTATTTTTTAGCTTCTTAGGAGCTTTTTGTAGCAATTCCTGCTGCATTTGCTGATGAATACAGCACCAAAGACAGTAAGTTATTTACCCTACTTATTATTTATAGCTCAAACTCCAGGCTTGAACTCAACGCATTACTTTATGGTACTTCAACTATAAGGGATTTTTGTTGTTGTTTGGCAGACGCATTGACTGATTCATTTATTCACTCATTCAGCAAATATTTATGGAATGCCTATTATCCGCCTACTGCTCTTGTAGATACTGGGCATATAGCAGTGAGCCAAGAAACTGCTGCTCTCATGGAGCTTCCATTTCAGAGGAGGAGGCAGGCATCAAAAGAAGAAGTATATACTACATCAGGCGGTGATAAATGCTACAAAGAAAGATAACAGGAGTGGGAGCCTCCCTCACAGAACTGAAAACATGCACTCAGCCTAGGCCTGGGCTCAGGATCTGGAGGTGCTAAAGGAGGATCCAGGGGAATGTAGAGCAGTTGGAGGTCCAGCCGCTGCTTCATGTCAGTGAGGTGAATCAGCACATCAGCAACAATGTGTATGGGCTGCAAAATGGCTAGTGCTTTTCCTCTATCCTCCAAATTGCCCAAGAGTCTTCCTTAAGGCCCTCTCTAAGCAGAAACATTCAAGAAAGAGAATTCTGGGAAACGTAGTTCAGCCTAGCCAAGTTGACACATAACAAAGCCGACACACAGGGGATGGGGTGGGTGGAGGCTCCTAAGACTCATCTTGCTCTAAATCATAGCTCTCTACAGGGAAGGCTTCTGTGAGTTAAAATCCCAATTGTTCCTAGGCAGTCTAGGAAAAAATAATTCTCATGAGACGTTTTTGACTGTTCGCTCAATAGACGATGACTCTCCAGTTAAAGCTATTTCTCAGGGTAAGCTTCTTTTGATTTTCCAGCAACTACTCAAGTACCCAGATGGTAACTAATAGGAGATTTGATTCATGTTCCCTGGGGTGGAAGATGTTGAGTTGCATCAATCATCATTAACCACAGCATCATATTCAACTATTTGACGCAATAGAATTCAATTGACATAATTATTCCATGTAATAGAACTAAAAAATGAAACAAGAGCTTGTCTCTGGGAAATAAAAAAAGCTAATGCAAACGTAAAGACAACTATCCAATTGAATTTGATCATTTATTTAGTCACTCATTTCACAAGTATTTGTGTTCAACATAGGCACATTAATGGGCTAAGCATGGAGGTGATGCATAAATATCCACACCAGTCCTTCTTGATATCAAGAATTTTCCAGATATGTAATTTTAATCCAGCTTAAGAGCTAGGGATGGAGATGCTACAAGAGGAAGTGTGTAAGTCTCTCTGGGCAAAGAAGGAAAGGCTTTGAGATAATTTCTTACCTGCATATAAGATGATATCCCCACTTTCAAAGAACTTAAAATCTAGTTGAGGATTGACATGTATACATGGCAAGGTACTATCTTACAACTGCAAACCTAGGCTGCTGAGGAAGTGCAGCAGGCATTTGGGGTAGGGGTGGGGACAGGATTCTGCCACATGGTCTCCATCACAGCTTTAAAAAAACCAGATCTTTTTGTGTTCATTCCAGAAGCTGCACAGTTTCTAGAGACTTGTCTTTTCACAGGAAATATCCTACTCAGAAATAGTGTATTTGGCAGGGGACTATTCTCCTGCAATCTTTGCCTTTGTCTACAGCATGTTAAAATGAGAGAGCTTCTGATTCATAGGAGTTATAAAAATAATATAGTAATTACAAAGTTCACTTTCGTGACTCACTTTGCTCTAAATTCTGGCACTCTACAGGGAAACCTTCTCTGAGTTAAAATCCCACTTGCTGTTTCTAGTTTGAAAGTGTCAATGGGTCCACAATTTTGAGGTTGAATCATTCTGCAACACGAGGGCTTGAGGGGGAAGCTTGGGGACCTGAAGAATGACAGTTTTCAGTGTTTGTATATGTCTCTTTAAAAAAGTAGGAAATAAATTGGCTGATTTGTCATGATTACATCATGTGTAATACTTGATCACAGAGTACCTTGTTTTGGATTTGTATTTATTTTTCTCCCTCCTGCTCCTATCTAATTGCCCTCTCCAGAATGAAGGCTTCCACTGCCTTTTGGCTTCATTAACAGCTTTCATTTTCATTAAGAGCTTTGCGCTAATGGACTGTTATAAAATGCACAGTTGTTTCTTGCAGTCACTGCCAAATGCCTCCCATTCTACTGACAGTTTTGTGCATTAGGCCAAAAAGAAGGGGGAAAAATCCAGTAGGAATTAATATCCAAGGAGAAGATATAACTACCTCTGTCCTTGAGGTTTTTTGGGGAAGTTGGGATCAGCACCTGGAAGCCCATGACTGTTTTCTCTCTGCTCTTTAAATGTTTCTTGATTCGACAAATGAAAGAAGACAATAGGAAGCTCATTTTTCTCATAATATTTTGGAATTTGAGGGTTGTTGAGAATTAGACTTACAGAGGCTTCACAAGAAGGAACACTGATAGTGATTAGATTTCATCAACCTGGCTCCAATTACACATACAATGGTTATTATTGCAGTTACGAGCATCAAAACAGCAGATGCTCCCAGGGTAATACTTGGTGTACCGTCCACCATATGCAATGGAAGGCTCAGTATTGATGTATGGTTGCAGAGTTTGATTTCTTTATACGGTAGGGTGGTTTCTGTACTCCTAGTGACACAGTTAAACAGAGAATATTTTAAAATCTTAGGAATTTAAAGAAGCTTAGAGATAATTAATCCAATCTCCTCACCCTTTCATTTTCTTGAAACAGAGAGAGCTTGAGGAATGGGTAAGTGTGACCTAGATGTCAGCTGCAGTCACCTTGACCCTAAGAGATTTGGCTAAGCTTGACAGGAGTCCCCACAATGTGCCTTATGAGTTAAACTCTGCACTCCCACCCCCATTCTCTTTCCTGTTCTCTCCTTCTGGTGTTTTTTTCCTCCAGAACACTAAGAAAATTCTTCCTCTCATTTCACATGGAAGGAGCCCACCTAATTTAGGTGGGCTTGGTACACTGTTCTTCCACTCTAACGCCTTTCCCAAACAAATTTAAATCTTTCTCAGACAATTAGTAGGGAAAAAATTACTCCATCATATTACATTAATCTCAGAGCTAATCTAAAACTCAGGTTTTAAATTTTTGATTCCATGCTGTTTCTACAATATAATGTATTTCCTTGAAATAAGGTATGCCATAGTGCTGAAAGCCATTGCCATGTATGATATACTTGGGTTTTTTGAATTTGTCCAGTCTTTTCCACTTTGTAGGAAGGTTCTAAGATTAGCCAACCCCTTAATGGGCTGATATCTAGAATCAAGACTTAAAGTTTTTATATTAACTAATTAAAATCTTTGTAATTATACACTTATGTAATTGATATGGATGTTAATATAACCTCATTAATATCTTTGCAAACGAACTGATAGTATATACAAATTTACTAGCAGTTTTTCATTACTCTGTAAGTACATACCTGTTGCCCCTTATTAAATAAAATATATCAGTACATTTCCTAACATTTCCCAGTTTTATGTTCTTGTATATTTGAAACATTGGAGTCAGAATCTGTTTGCCTTTGTGTTTGAGCATGCAAATTTTAAAGGGTCAGGGCTCTAGTTCTTAGATTTTATGCAGGATATTTTGCTCATCATGAGTCTATAATGTCAAATAATAACCACAAGGATTTACAAAGCCCAGTTTGAGAAAGGTCACCAAAATATATGAGTTGACTTTTAGAGCTGATACTCTAGGCTTGAAATGAGGATGATTAAATCTTAAACCTTCACTAAAGTTTGGAAGAGCCTGGCTGGATTTGAGTTTTAAAGACCGAGGCATGATTAGCCTTCTTTTTCTATCATACCCTTCTCCCAGTTTAGCTACTGAGCACTGTCTTTAAAAGTACTGTTGTTTTAATAAAAAAAGGAACAAAAGTATTACCTCATCAGCATTTAAAACATGAAAAAATGGGATGGAGAAAAGACATGAGATGAAAAGACTAGTTTGAAAATGTTCCAAGATCCCAAGATGCAAACATGCAAAGCATCATGGGGGCAGAGAACGTGGCCGCATGAGGTAGCTCCAATCTCAGCAACATAAAAAGGCAGAGTGTTTACCAAATCTTTGAAACAGCTTTATTCCCAGAAAGGACCAATTATAGTTGAATATAATCCAGAAAATTGTGATTGAAGGCTACTTCCTGGAACAGGTAGCCTGAGAGTTCCAGGATGTGTGAGTTGAGGAGGAAATGCTGTTCACTTCCAAAGAAATGACTGGTGAGTAGAAGGCATCTGAAGGACAATGACTGACATCCTAAAGACTGGGGAGTGTGCAGAGGGTAAGCTGTTATCATTTGATGTATTGGAATGAGAGTGCTTGATTACTCAATATAAAAATAGTTTTGTCCTGAGATCTGGAATTTCACTCTGCTGCATCAATATACAGTTTTACGGGCAACCTTAAAACAAGGACCATGTAATTATGGCCAGCCAGGCCAATTAGAGAGAAAACCATGAAACAGCTGGGTGTTAACTATCTCTGGAGGTTGATGTTGAGAAAAAACCATGAACTTCAGAGCTCAGTAGACTTGAGATTAGGGCTCTGCCTCTATCCTTATCAACTGTGTGACTTTGGGCAAGTCATTTAACCTCTCTGAACCTCAGTTTCCTCTTCTAAAAAGGGAGTAATAATGAAGACCTCATCATGGTGTTTTCAAAGTAAATTAATTGGCATACATAAAGCAGATAGTGGAATACCTGGCATAAGGCAAACCCTCGATAAATATCTTTTCCCTTATCTCCCTTCAATTCTTTTCTTCCTCCCCATCATTGTTGCCCTCTTTGCCTTTGGCCCCTATCTTTTACCATATTTTCTTTTCTTCTTCTTTTTTTTTTTTTTTTTGATGGAGTCTTGCTCTGTTGCCCAGGCTGGAGTGCAGTGGCATGATCTCAGCTCACTGCAACCTCTGCCTCCCGGTTTCAAGCAATTCTCCTGCCTCAGCCTCCTGAGTAGCTGGGATTACAGGTGTGCGCTACCGCACCTGGCTAATTTTTGTATTTTTAGTAGAGATGGGGTTTCACCATGTTGGCCAGGCTCGTTTCGAATTCCTGACCTTGTGATCTGCCTGCCTTGGCCTCCCAAAGTGTTGGGATTACAGGAGTGAGCCGCTGCACCCAGCCTGTACCATATTTTCTTAGAGCTGTCACACTGCCCCCTTCCATGGAACTGGCTGATAAAGGCTTTAAGTGTCATCTAACCCAAGTGTACTTCCTATACTGTAATCTTTTAAAGGCAACTTTGAACAATTTAAAAATTATTGTGACTTAAAGGAATCGATATCTAATGATAGAATTCTAGTTCCTGGCTTACTGGTATGGGAGACAGTTTTGTCTGGGGCCAGTCCCATCTTGGTATCACACTTTGTAATTTTCTGAGCATTTGACCTTTTCTTCATGTGGTCTTTGTCAACCTACTTGTAAGGCCAGCCTGCCTATAAAATGGAGGACTCTCCAGGACCACTTTAATCGGAGGTCAGAATAATTTACAGTTACTGTGCCAGTGGTTTGTGTGCAATGAGATCGTGCATAGCTTCATTAGTGAGTTTACTGTGCTGGGCCTTTCCAAAGATTGTGTTTCTTGATTTGGTCCCTGGATAAATTTGCAAGTGCTAATCTAGTTGTTGCTGGAGAGCATCCAAACCTAAGGCAGAACTCTTGCTCCTTGGATTGTTAGGCATTAGATTGGCAGGGTCTTGGACTCTGGTAAATTCTGCAGGCCTAAGGGAGACTGGTCATCCAGCCAGGTGTAGGGTAAAGGAATTATTGGGAAATATACAGTAAGGGAGGCCTGTGAGGTCAGTACCTTGAGGGATTTGTGCTGTGACTTCCAAGTCCAAATTCAACAGAGATTTAGTGCGTGCCTACTGTGTGCCAGACACCATTCTAGGAATTGAGGATGTATCAGAGAATAAGATGAACAAAAATATTCCTGCCTTTGTCGGTCTTATATTCTACTGGGAGAGTAGGGTAGAGAAGTACACACATAAAGAAAAATCACAATAAATACACTAGCTAGATACATAGATAGATGCTGGTAGGTGATATGTGCTATAGTAGAAACAAAATAGATCCGAGAAAGGGGGATTTGGAATGTGGGTGAGAGATGGAAAACAATTTCCTATAAGGCAGTTAGAGAGACCTCACTGAGGATATGATATTTGGATATTTGAATGATGATGACATAGGGAGGGACCTACAGATTAGGAATTAGAGTGGGAAGTGGTTGAGGTGTGTGTGGGGGGCATATTTTATAAGCCTTTGATGGCTTCTGTGAGGACTCTGGTTTCTACTCTGAGAGAATGGGGAGTCAACAGAGGGTTCTGTGTAGAGAATCTCTCTTGTATTTTAATAGTATCCCTCTGGCTGCAGCAGGGCCATTTGGGAGGCTCCTGCCGTAATCCAGGTGAGAGATTGAGGAGGTGGGTGTTGGGCTAGAGTGGCTGCAGTGGACGGCGTGAGAGTGGTTCTATTCCAGTTTTGTTTGGAAGGTAGAGCCAGCAGTATTTGCTGCTGGATTGAATATGGGTGTGAGAAGAGAGGGATCAGTGAGAACTCCAAGGTATTTATCCTAAGCAGCAGGAAGGAAGGTATTGCCTTTCAGCAAGATGGGGAAGACTGGAGGAGGAGACAATTTACAGGGAAAGGGCAAGAGTCTAGCTTAGTCATATTATATCTGAGATGCCAGATTTGGGTTTGCTAACCAAGAGGAGATATTGAGGAAGCGGTTGGGTTTGAGCTTACAGTTCAGGGGAGAGGGTCAGGCTGGAGATATACACTTGAGGGTCACCAGCATACAGACGGTGATTAAAGCCAGGGCACTTTCCAGAATCACTTCTTTCCTGTGAGAGTTTCCTAACTTTGTGTCAGAACTCATATTCCCTAAGGGTGGATTCAGATCAAGCTTCTAGCCATAGGTCCCTTCCACTTGCTTCTCCATCTATCTGAGGTTCATACCTGGATGGGTTCCATTGTCTTCCCATGGAAGACGGGAGGGCTCCTCCCCGAGGATGATACAAGATGATCCCCTGGGATGTAGGATGAACACGTCAGAATCTCTGTCTTTGATCTCGTCTGAAGTTGTGTGTGTGCGTGTTTGTTTTTTAAAGTGCTTAATATGTGTTTATATTTTATAAATTATTTGTTCATTGAGAATGTGTATTTAAAAACTTCTTACTAGCAAAGTGGGAGATTTGAGAAGTTTACGTACCACAGTCTGAATGAAGAGGAGAGGGAAACTTTGTTAATTCTGGACCTCTCAGTGGGGATGGGTAGTAATTAGGGAGTCCTATTTCTTTGTCCCTGTTGGAGTAAGAGGGACACTGAGCTTACCTATTGTAGAAAAGCTGCCTTTTTAATGATTCTGTAAACACTTATTGAAACACCTACTAGGGCTGGACGGAGCAGTGGAAATTTTTGCCAACATTATATCCTCAGAGCAACCCCAGGAGTTTGGACCAGAGAATCGCTCTCCATGAAGGAAACAGGAATGGGGAGGTGGATTGAAGGTGGGTACAGGGGATACCCCTCACTTCATAAATGAGGGGAGGCGTCATCCCAGGCTCTCACCCCAAGGCCACTCTTCTCTAGTTTCAAGCCCACCCTTACCCCATGAATTCCTGATTTGAGATGTTCAACTTCTTTCCCTCTAAATCCCTTTTGAGTTTCAGAAAACATTCTCCTGAAGTCTGCACTTGAGATGATAAAAATAATTGGGCAATGTTAAGTGGTGGGCAGTGGCTCCCTTGGGAGGAAAAAGGCTGTTGCATTATTTTCCCTTTTTTCTCTCCCTTTTAAGACTTTTATAGGAAAACCTCAAGTTTTACCCATTGTCTGTGGCCCTCTGGCACTCTGTCAGCTCTTTTAAATCATCAGTTATCTTTTCATATGTTGATCTCTTATTTCTCAAGGTAGATTGTAAAAGCCTTGAGGGCCAGGACTCTGCCCAAGCTGAGCCAGGCTCCCTTTCTGTCACTCTCCCCTATCTTGGTGCCTTGCACCTGGCAGGTGTTTAGTAATGACTGATTGATTGATTGATATTAATGTATAATATATTAATTACTAGTATCATTAGTTCAAAAGCTTTGATTATGAGTAAAATAAAGTAGACACATTAATTCAGCAGTTCCCAATAGCCAGCAGCTGAAAGGAAGGCAGCTGTGGCCTGATTCCTTCCTCCCACCTGCCTTTAGTTTGCTGAGCATAAAGGGGAAGTGTTGTCTGCAGCTCTTGGAGGTCTACTGAGGTCTCTGAGTCATGACAAAAATGACTTCAGAGACCGAAGCACTCTCTGCATGAAAAGCCCTGTCTCCAGCTCCATGAAATGTAAATCTGGGAACTGCTGGGGAAGGCACAGGCAGTCAGGTGAGGCTAATGGGAAAAGCCTGAGTCTAGAGAGAGCATCGCTAAGGTAACCAGAACCCTAACTCTGAAGGTTTTGCCTGGGTTCACAAAAGCCTTCCAGCTTTCCATTTTAAAAAGGAACTCCACAAAGTAGACTCAGGAAAATGTGCTTTGGAGCTGTGGTCTTCAAAATCCAGAGCTCCTCAGAATCACTGGAGAAGCAAGTTAAACTCAGATTCCTGGGTCCCTCCTCCCCACCCCCATAGAGTATGATTCAATAGGTTTGGAGTTGTGGCCAGGTATCTGCACTTAAAACGGAAGTTCATTTATTTGTTTTTGGGTGTAAGTGGTTCTAGAGACCACGCTTTAAAGAATTCCTGTATTTGACTTGGAGTTGCAGTGAGGCTGGGACCTGGGTTCTTGGAATTGGTCTGATTATCTTTAATGTGTTAATAATCTCTTTGCCAGTAGCTGCATTTTCTTATGCGTCCTTGGTCCTGAGTTGACTCGAAGCTGTGCCTCTCTTCCCAGGCCTGAGTTTGAACTGGTATTTTAGAAGGAAGAAAGGAGACAAACTCATTATTTAGCAAGTGTGTACCGAGCATCTGCTTTGCTCCTGGCAGTGTTCTAGGTACTTGGGATGAACAGGGGATTAAGGTCAAGACCCTGCTCTCATGGAGCTGCTTCTATTCTAGGAGGCTCCTGGGTTTATATTTATGGTCGAGAAGGGACTCCTTCTCTGAAACTGAGCAAGTATATACTCCACAGGTCTTAAGTGGACATCCTCTGCTCATTGTTTGATAGATGAGGAGAGTAAGTGCCTCTAGAGGTTGAGTGACTCATCTGAGATGATTGTTAGTAACAGAGGTGCAATGGGTGGGGTGTCTTTTCAGCTCCCAGCATGTTCAAAGGGTCAGTATCCACATATGACCACCCCCAGGGTTCCCTCTTATCTGCTCTCCTATGAGAACAGTTTTGGGGAAGATGGCTAGGGGACAGCATCCTGTTGTGATGCAATTCATTGGACTGGGACAATGACTTTCTGCTAGGCTCTAAGCCAGGTCATTGAATCCTATGGGTCTCTGTTGCTCCTTGTGCAAATTTTGGTAGACTTTGGATCATCTGTATGTTTATAGCACAGGTCCTCTCTGATTTTCTAGAATTTCTAATTTTTTAGAATTTTCTAGAATTTAGTCTAAGCCCCTTTCTATTTTTTTTGTATTTTCTAGAATTCAGTGCCCAGACTTTTTTCTGAGCACGCCTGGTGTCTGCCTCAGTGGTGTCTTAAGGTGCGAAATAATAACTAGCAGTAATTTCACTTACTGGGGGAGGCAGCAGGCATGCCTTCACAGTAATGGACATGTATGGAGGTGGAGAGCAAAGAGCCAAATGGAAGAGGGAGGTGCAGTTTCCCTGACTGTACAGAGGGAATTACATGACCTCCCTGCCTTTAACCTTGAGCTCAGGGATACCACTTATTTTCACACCATCCAAATTCTAGCATTCTGGAGCAAAGAGCTGCTCACTTATCCTAGTTATGGGTTTTACTGGGTTGTAGGTACCAGGGATAATTAGTGAAGGTGGCAATGGGGGTTATGAGAGAAAAGGAAGGTAATGGGAACGGCAGGGACAGAAAGGAAGGGAAAACAGCTAACCAGCTTTGGGGATGATAAAGTAAATGCTCACCTAGGCTTAGGGACAGCCTCCTGCCTCCATCACAGTGAGGGAACAAGGGAGTCTTTAAGATATTGGTGGCTATGTGCCTGTGCATAGGGCTTGCTCTGGGGTTTCAAAGGCTGTCTCACCCTGTGTGTTAGGCAGAGCACTGGATATTTTCTCTAAGCACTGAAGGTCTAAATGAAATTTAGCTTTCTCAAACATCCTAATTATTTCTACATTCCTAAAGCTCTGAGAAGGCCGTATATATAGTACTGATATTGTTCTCCCAGGTGGTTGGCGACATGATTTTTAAACTTCCTTTGTTTGGAGGAACCAGAGATGAACAGATGAATCTGGAATGTTTGGGGCAGCAATGAAGTATATAGTTGGGTGGACTCACAGTCAAAAAGTCTAAGATCCTGAGGGTCATGACTGACTCAGCTTAGGCTGTCATGGCACTGAGTGACTTCAGAGTACCCAGTGGGAAGGTGGGCTGGAGGTACATGGATGGGGGGATGGAGAATGGGGTGTGAGTATTGTGTATTTCTCTCTTCCCTTTGGTGTTTAGGTTGTTATTGCTAGGAGTGAGCCAGGTCTTTCTGTCCTCAAAGACTAAATTATTCCCAGAAGAGTAAATGCCATCCACAGACATATTGGTGACTTCCACCAGGGCTGCCCTTGATGCTGTATCTCTGTAACATTTCCCTCAAAGCAACACCATCTGACATGGTAGCCATTAGCCACATGTGACTACATTTCAAATGATGAAAATGAAAAAAACAAAATTCACTTCCCCAGTCTCACTAGTTTAACGTGTGGCCAGTAACTAATGTGATGGACAGTGCAGAATGGTAGAACATCTCCATCACTGAAGAAATTCCTATTGAACAGAGCAGTCTTAAAGTCCTTTCTAGTCCAAGGGTCTAGAGCCCCTTTGGGCCTGTGTTTGCTGGTGGGGGAATGGGGACTCTTCCTTATCAATGAGCCCTGTAGTTGTCCCATAGCAAGCCACCTGATGGATAGCCTAGAAGTGGAAATGACAGAAAGGGCAGAGGTTGGTGCAGACTAGCTAGGTTTCCAAAAGTAGATAAAATAAACTACAGTGCAAGTGGGACAACCGACCCACTCAGATGCTTGGGGACAGGGGAAGTATATCAGTTATTTATTGCTGCACAACGAAGTGATGGCTTATAACAACAATTTATTTTTCGTGATTCAGTGGGTTGACTCAGAAGTTTACCCCAAGTTAGACTGAAAAAGAAATGAGAGCAGAATCCAGGACCACAAAAATTAGGCTTTGGTACTTTTAGGTGAAAATTTTGGACTTAACACTTTAACACTTGAAAGGGCCTCTTCATTGTGGTTTCATTCACCTTATTTAGAAATGAGGAAATCCAGTTTCTGAGAGGTTGTGTGACTTGCCCAAGGTGGTGGAGGTGGTTAGGCTGAGCCTCGGATCTAGGCTCCTGACTTTGAATTATTGGCTTTTTGTATTGGACCAAACTACCTCTCAACAAAAGGGGAATATTATGGCCTCATTGGGTCTGCAGTCCTCTGTGGTCAAACAAGTTGCTCTTCTTACCTGAGAAGGACAGATAAGGGCAAATAGACTATTTGCCTAGGGGCTGGCTGCTCCCACTAAACCTTGTGACACCTTAGTTGGAGAAGCTGAAGGAAAGAGGTAAATATTATTTGTTGAATCTTTACCACACGTGAGGCACTTTGCCAGGCCTTTTAAATATATTTTCGCATGGGAGCAGGCATTATTTTTTCATTTTAACTGATGAAGAAACTGAAGCACAGAAATGTTTAGAATCTTGCTCAAAGTCTCAAAGCTAGTAAGCAGATGGGTTATAAATCTAGGTCCATGCTACTCTAGAGCCTGATGTCCACATCATTCCATAGCTCTGTGACAAACAGACACAGGCCCTTAGAGAGGAGGTGCACATATAGCATTGACTGTGTCTGGTGGTGTGTTTGGGAAGGGTGTCAGCAGAGCCTGGGTCACCCTTCCTTAGACATAGGATTATTCTAGCCATAAGTGTGAGGAGAAAAAATAGCTTTGAGGTAAGGTGGTCAAATAGGACTGCTGATTTCTTTGGAATCCAACTGCTTGAGTCAAGAAGGGATTGCCTTTTTGAAATTGCTGGCAGACAGGAGCTCCCAGCTAATCCCTCCTCTGTACACATGTGGACCCTTAAGATGAGTTCCTTGGATGCTAGGATTCCAGATAGAAGTAAATATCTTTAGGCAGCCATGTTGACCCCAGAAATTAGTGCCAGGGACTTTCTTAAAGAGGATTCTAAGATTTTCTGGAATTCCTGAAGAAAAGTAGATGAGGAGCACTGAGAAGAAGAAGTACGTCTCAGGTCACCCAGTTAAATTTGAATTTCAGTGCTCCTTCTCCTTTTCAGTGACACAAAGGGAGACAGAAAGAGAGATATTAGACTCTCCCTTTTAATCCAGAATCTTCGGTAACTGGAAGACAAGTTGTAGTCTACCAACAGCTGAAATTCATGGAGGCAAGAATGAGTGAGAAGATAGCAAAAAAGAAAGCTGTTCATGGCTTAGAAAGCAGGTCTCATCCAATGGACTGTACGGGTTTCTGGGAGAGAATCATGCCTTGGAAATATCCGTTCATCAAAAGCATAGTTTGCATCTGCAAGCCCGAAGGGAAACTGAGAAAACCAGCCACCAACTTGGCAGGCAACAGAATTGTCTCCTCCAAGATAGTGAGTGGAGGAGAGAAGGCTGCCTTTTCCCAAGAGGACCAGTCCAGCCCTTGTTAGGCCATCTCCGAAGATGTATGTTTCCTTTACCAGGTGTAGCCTTACAGGAAGGGACTCTTTGGAGTGAAGCCAAGTGTCTACTTTGGGACAGGGGAAGTATATCAGTTATTTATTGCTGCATAACAGATGGCTTATAACTACAATTATTTTTCATGATTCAGTGGGTTGACTCAGAAGTTTGCCCCAGGTCTATTGCTGGGGTCACTTATGCAGCTGCATTCATCTGGCAGATAGGCTGGGTTTCATCAAGGTCTCTCTCACACATCCAGGGCCTTAGTGTTGACTGGAGGCTGAGACCCTTGGTTCTCCTCCATGTGGCTTCTCGTCTTCCAGGGTCTCTTCTTGCGGCTCCTCAAACCAGAAAGATGGCCTGGGTTTCCTGATAGCATGTTGGCTGGGTTCTAAAAGAATGAAAATAGAAATTGTTAGGCTTCTTCAGGGCAAGACCTGTAACTGACACAGCATCACTTAAGCCCACTTCTGTTGGTCAAAGCAAGTCTAAAGGCCCAGCCAGATTCATGGAGAGGAGAAATAGATGATATCTCTTGATTTGATGGGTGGTGTGATTGGCAGCCACATTCGAAGGCAAACTGTTATAGGAAGTAAGTACTTTTATACCTGCTTAGCCCAAATAAACGATAGCAAGCTTTCCCTTTGGTAGGGTTGCATTATTTAGCAAATAAAAATATAGGACACTCGGTTAAATGTGAATTTCAGATAAATAATGAGTCAGTTTTTTATTATAAGTATATTCCATGAAATGTTTGGAACATGCTTGTAGTAAAAAAGTATTTGTTTTTTATTAGAGATTCACATTTAACTGGACAGTTTGTATTTTATTTTGCAACTTTGGTAATAGTGGCTTTCCGAGGGTGAGATTCTCATGAGGGCATAAGTGGGTGTTTTGGGGGGAATTGGTCCCCAGAATTTGTAGTCCAAGACATGGGTAATTTGAAAAAGCCTCCTAGGGCAATGCTTTTCAGACTCTCATGTGTGCAGGAATCACCTGGAGATTCTGGTTTAGAAGTTTGGGGTAGGGCCCAAGATTTTCCCTTTCTAACAAGCTCCCAGGTGATGCCCATGCTGGTCCATGGAATACAATATGAGTAACAAGAAGCTAGGTCTGTAAAGGCCCAGATAGGAAATATTTTTGGCTTTGTGGGCTGTAGAGCCTCCTTTGCAACTACTCAGCTGGTGTTTTATCAGGAAAGCAGCCATAGACAATATGTAAAAAATGAGCGTGACTGTGTTCCAGTGAAATTTTATTTCCAAAAGTTGAGAGTGGATAGGATTTGGCCTGTGGCTGGCTGTCATTTGCTGACCCTGAGTTAGGTGATTCTCATGTGCTCCCTTCTGTAAAGATAATCTCTGGTGCAAGGAAGGGAAGGCTTGTACTAGAAGTCTACGATTTCAGGAGTTCAGAAAGGATTGCACTAAATCCCTTACTGCCAAACACAGATTTCTCTCTGCTCGTAATTATTCAGATCTTCAACTAATATTTGGTTCTCTATTGAAATGCAAATTCCCTGAACTAGGAATCCTGTTAAGCTGATAAACAGTCTTTACATCCCAGAGTGAATGTATTTAGGATCCCTTCTTGAGGGGACAGAGAACCCCAGAATAGGGAAGTTGGGCTCTAACTCACTCATATGTTTGCCTAGAGTAGGCCAGCTGGTTTTTACCTTGCTCTCTACACGTAAGGTGTGCTTGCCAATGTCAATAACTAAAATACTCATGTTACTGAAAGGTATTTAGGTGTGTGAACAAGATGTTGCTTTATCAACTGTCCAGGTTTGCCTGGGCCTGCAGGATTTCCTGAAATGTGGGACTTTCATTGCTGAAACCAGGACAGTTCCAGGCAAACCAGGATAGAGAGAGGGAGAGAGATGTCACTGAGCTCTCAATCAATTCCCACAATAATGATTTGGTGACAACACAGCGTATTTCCACTGAACTCAAAGGCAGTTAGAAGAGTCTCAAAGGAATATCCATTTTATTTTAGTTGAACTTGAGAAATACATGCCATTCTGTTCTGTACTTTTAGGGAGGCATTGTTATAGGGAATACAAGCACAGGGTTGGGAAGTGCTTGCTAGGGCCACATTTCGTGGCCCTCTGTAATTAGGTGCCAAGATTGCCGAGGGTGACATTAGTGGAGATGGTGATAGTAATAATAATAGTTATTATAAATAACCACTAACATTTCTTGGGTGCTTACATATATGTCAGGTAAATTGTATGTTTCACATTCATTATCTGATTAAATGTTCTCTCAGCAAACCTGTGAGCTAGGTACTATTATTTTCTCAATTTTACAGACAATTAACTTATGGTTTAGAGAGTTGTGTTGACTTGTCCAGTCACATAGCTAATACATTGGTGTTCAAATGCTTAAGACCTTGAATTCTTAATTACTCATTACTCATGTGTCTACAGCACCAAAGCCTTTCCTAGATTTTCTCTTGCCTCTAGTACCCCTTTCCTGGTCCCCACCCATCTCTGATGTGATGGGAAGCACACTTGCTATGTGTTTTTGATAGGATATTTTACTTCACTGAGCCTGTTTGCTCATATGCTTAAAAACAGGGGGTGGTTAATAACACTTTAGATTGTTCATTTCTTTATCTACTCCCCCTGCCTCCCACTTTTTGCCACAGTCATAATTATTTCATTCTGCAGGGTGATTCTCTGCCATCAGAGAAAGTTTGGCATAGTTCAGTCGTTCTCAAAGTTTGGCTACCAGACTAGCCACAACTGGGAACTGTTAGAAAAGCAAATTTCTTGAGCCTCACCCTAGATCTACTGAATCAGCAAATCTAGAGGTGGGGTCCAACAATCTGTTGCATGGTAAAGCTTGAGAACCATGAGTATAATGAAAAGAGCTTGGGGTCTTAAATCAACACAACCAAGTTGAATTTTGCTTCTACCATTTGGGTGATGCTTACATCAACACCACACTATAAACTTTTTGAGCCTTTGTTTCCTCTTCTCTAATATGGAATATCATAATCTCACAGTTCTATCTATGATGAGGGTCAAATAAGAAAATGGCACAAAACTGAATTTAAACATTAAAGCATCAATGTTGACATTATCCATCTGTGGGCATCTCTCCCAAATCGCTCATGTTCTACCTTCCTACTGATGTATAAATCCTGTAGAAACTGATTTTTGGCTAAGAAAGGGTAAAAACAGCCAGATAAGTAATATTTATATGGCAGGCCACTATCTTTAGAGTACTTTCAAATGATTTTATTTAATTCTTACACCAGTTCTGTGAAATAGAATTTTAAGGGAGCTTTGAGTTTCAGAGTGTTAATGACTTGCCTGAGTTGCCACTGCAAGAGTGTGTGACAAAGCTAAGGCTTAAATTCAGTCTCAATTAAAAATCTGGTGCTTCCTCTAGATCACTCTGGTTAAAGCCAGAGACAAAGGGCAGGCAGCTGCCAGCACAAAACCTCCTCCAGCCCACTGTTCTCCACCTTGGCCGCACATTGCAATCACCTGGGGAGACTTTAAAAGTCTCCCAACCAATTAATCAGAATCTTTGGGCATGGGACCCCAGCATCAATGTATTATAAAGCTCCCCAGGAGATTCAGTTGCAATGAAGGTTGAACACATGGCTTTAAGCTCCCTGGCAGTTCTATTAGGCAGTGATGCTTGATGCTTGCTGCACATTAGAATCATCTGAGGAACCCTAAAAAAATACCTGTGCCTGGCCTCATCCCCCTGGGTTGCAACGTCTGCAGTGGGTGGCTATTGTGGCTATTGTTATTTTGAACTTTCTTGATGATTCCACTAGATATCCAGGGTCGAGAAGCACAGCATGTCTTTGGCTCCAAGCAGGCTTGCTAGCCCTCGGAATGAAGCCCACCTCTCTACTTCTGGCTTTATCACTTGGCAAAAAAGCACTTGTTAAAAATGCACACACATGTGGGTTTGCCCTCTTCATGGTTCAGCACCAGAATTTAAGCAGCTGGTGGACAAGACTTATCCTTGGAACAACATCCAACATTCCTACCCTAGGGCATATTGGAGTCTCTCAACCAATGAGGGCCCACAAATAAAGCAGTCAGCATTTACCTCCAGCAACTGCATTTAGGATTCTCTCACATGACAACATTTCCTAAACAGGTAGTCAAAGCCAGAGAAAGAGATGCTGACTTTATTAAAATTCCTCTGGGCATGCCCACTGACTCACAACACATGCTCATTAATACAGCTGAGCAGGCATCCTCCCTTCCTCCTGCACGTGAGGCACATACACAGAAAGCCGGGCTACCACTGGCATTCAGGATGGGGGAGCTGCTGCTCTGACGTGGCTGCTTTCGTTTGAGACTTCTTGGGGGCACTTTGATAACCAAATCTGAAATGGACACTGAGTCTACCTGGCCTTGTTCTGAGGTCCACTTTTCTCTGAATGATGGTACATGGACACGACATTGCTTATCATCCTGTTCACTGTGCACCTGCTAATATAGCGTTCATTGCTGTATGGTTTTTTGGACCTTCTGGGAGTGCTTGTTACAAATGCTGGTACCTAGACCCCATCTCAACTCTCAGATTCTTTGAAAGGGGGTTGGGAATTTGAATCCTTAGCAAGCTCCCCAATTGTTTCCTAGGCCTTTGAAAGTGTGAGAGCCACTGCACTAACAACTTTGTCATGGTTTAGAAAGCCTGGTTCCACCAGTTCTTAGGAATAAACCAAGTGAGAGCCTTGCACTGTAGAGAATTGTGTTGGGAGGGTATGAATCAGGTAAGTCAGGAGAAAAGGGAATTGTGAGATGTCTAGGGAATGGGATAAGGGAGGACATGCACATGCGCATGTGTGTGTGTACATGTGTGTGCCTGTGTGTGGGTACATGCCTGTGGCCCACACTTGGGGGGCAGCTGTTATATTTGCTGCTTAGGTATTCATAGCCAATTGTTTTAACTGTTCCTTGCTTTATTAGCTTTTGCCAAGTAGTTCAGCTTTTACTAAGGGCACCCGGGTTTATGGCAGCAATATTTCTCACAGTGTCAGAGATAAAATATCAAGCTAATAACAGACTCCCTGCTAATGTAAATCGCACAAGGAAGGCAGTCTTGTTCAGGAGGAAGTCCTACCAGGGAATGCTAAGTCTTACGATTTTGAAACAGCAGTCGGTGGGATTGGATACACTTTGCACTTGCTAAGAAGATAAAATTAATGATTTGTGTTAAGTGGTAGCAGCTGCAGAAAAGAGCATTTTCCTACACCTGCCTCTTCCCAAGGGACTTGGGGGCTCCCAGAGGCTCAGACAAAGGGGCAGGGGCTTAACTGTGGGACTTAGGGAGAGATTTCCTCTCTCTCCTCCCCTCTCTTTTATTACCACTTCTCAGTCTCGATGGATATAGCAAACCAATTGGTTTCCCTTATGGGTTATAAAGAGGAACCCGTTTTGGGATGTTGAGGGATCTGGGAAATAAGTCTCCTGGCAATTTCTGAGATTTCCTCTCTTCTTCCTGGTTACATCCAGGCACCTGCTGGGCAAACCGGCTGCCACTTGTTGCAAAAAATGTTGACAATACCGAGGGAAACTGAGACTTGAAAGAACTGGAGGGAGCAAAGTGCTGCTTTTCTGTAGCATCAGGTCCCTGGGGACAGGCCCTGAGTGTTGTACCTACTCTAGCTCTGAAGGGCCTGGGGCAGATGTGTCAGGGACTTCTGAGAAGATGGGGTTGTTTTCAAATGGGAAGGCCATTAAAGGCTTTGGGACACTTGGGAGGCTAAGAGGGGATGCTCAGGAGAGGGAAAGGCCATGGGTGCTGGCTCAGCAACAGGGATCTGAAACTGCTGATGCTCTATTGAGACCTGAAGCACGGGTGATGGGGAAAAGCAGGCATCTTCTGATGCATGATTCTCCCAGCAACCAGAAGGCCCTACAACCTCTGGCTGATCTCTGACTACAGTCTTGACTGCGGCTCTTGCCCATCCTAGGGTCACTGGAATCAGATGTCCATCTTCCCAACTCCAGAAGGTTGGCCTAAGTCTCATGTCCTTTGTATTTGCTCCTAAAATCAGGCCCCACTCTTACCTGGGGCCTGGTCTCCTCCCTACCTGGTCTCCTGGTCTGCCTCAGTAATTCTCATAATCACTTGCTATTTCCACTGGGGAAAAATTGGAGGGAAATGTCAGCTCCGTGTGAATCAAGTCAGCTTCATTGACTCCTTGAAACAGTTGCAGTGGCCCTGTGGAATAGGGGGCAGGTATTAGGGCCCCCATTTTCTGGGTGAGGAAACAGGATCAGGGAAGTTAAATGGCTTACATTCACACAGAGAACACAATACAACTGGGGTGAGATGAGCTCTTCTGACTTCTCAATCTGTGATCCTTCTAACACCCCACCTTACCCAGGGGAGCCTTGCACTGTTACTGCACTGTCTGCACCTGCTCAGATAACTCTGCCCAAACCACCTAACCCACCATGCCTCCATGCCACAGGACATGTGGTTGAGACACAAACAGCTCTGAGACTAAATGCCTGCCCCCAAGTGAGCTGGAGACAATGAAAATCTCTACCTGGTAACCCAGTGGGAGGGAGCAGGAGCAGGTGGCATGTGGGCAGAGGCTTGTCCACTAAATGTGGAAAGAAAAGCAGTCATGTTTTTACGTGCAGGGAAGGAATGAGGACTTTGCTGACAGCAAAGGGTGATGGATGGTGTGGGAGACTGCATGGGGCGTGAGTAGTAATGTGATAGAGGGTGCACATTACAGGCAATTACAATTTGAATAAGTTATCAATGGAAAGAAGTAGAGGAGTGGAAAACTGTTTTATTAACCCCCTGAAGTTACGTTCACAGCATTTTGAAAAAGTTTATGAATTGCCGTCAATTACAATCCCGGCGACAAATGCGGATGCTGGGAGAATCCCTGATTGTAGCTTCTGTAGCAGGCAATGTTTTATGGGGACAATTTAAAACAACAGTCTTATGTATTTTAAAACAGCAAAGGAGGAAGAAAAAGGAAGTGCTCAGGGAGCATAGTGAATTTACCTGCTCGTGAGCAATAAATCTTACTTATGATTTTTCGGTGTTATCTGTTTTTCTTCTTTTGATAGTGTACAACATTTCTCCAGGCATACTGCCTGGGGCTAAGATGTGTCCTGTATGTTATCCCACGGAGTGTTTTACCAAGCCACTCCCTGGATGATAATAGAGCTCCAAATAGAGACAAGACAATGTATACTTTCTAAGCTGTTGCCACGCTGAAATTTCCCCTTCATTCCCCTACCCATATTCCCATTTCCAGATAGCAAAAGGTAAGGTGGAATACAAGACATGCATCCCTGCTTGAGGACTCCCACAGAGCTCTGTTGTCCTCCAACAGACCTGACCCTGTTGTGCCACAAAACTCTCTGATTATTTATTATCTTCACCACCAAACTAGAGCCCCTTGAGGCCTTAGTCTCTGTGACGTTGGGAACAGCATTTAGCTTGGAATCAGGAGTCCTTGGTTGTATTTTGAGAGCTGCTGCAGGCTGGCTGTGTACTTAGTATATCAGAAGCTCGTGATTTCCTCACCATTGAAAGGGAGATAAGATTGCCCAACCTCCCTGGCTCAAAAGGTTGGATAATAAGAAGTGAGAGAAGGGAAATACAAAGAAGAGTGGAGTCGTTGCAGAAGGGTTTGTGGAGGGGGCGAGAGGGTACTAGGATGCTATGTGGTTTCCATGTATTACCTCATTTAGCTCATAAGTATATGGAGTAGGTATTCCCATTTTGTAGATGAGGAAACTGATGTTCTGAGAGATTAACTGAATCACTCTAGGAAAAACGTGTCGGAAGTCAGTTGAGCCCAGGTGTGCATGGCATCAAAGCTCATGTTTTTCACCACACCAGGTCCTCTGTGTTTTCTCAGATACAGAACTATTCATTACCATCACCTGGGAACAGCTTGGAAATGCTAATTCTTGGCTCAGCCTACACCTATGCATTCAGAGGCTACGGTTAACAAGATTCCCAGGGGATTCCTATACACATTCTAAGTTGAGAAGCATAAAACTTGGGGACAAAAGCCTCCCCTATTTGAATCTGACCCCTCCATTTGTTGGCCAGTTGACACTGAATAAGTCTGTACTTTAGTTTACTCTTTCAAGGGCTTGCGATAAGGATTCCAAGATGTGGAAATGCCTAACACAACATTCAGCTCAACACATGAAACATGAAGTTCACTGCTCATCTCACTAGGTGTGGCCTGTAAGTTTGCTCAGGAAGCATGGGAGAAACTAACATCTTATTCTTAATCTTCACTCTTCCCCCATATGGTTCTTGGGGATGAGGAAAATGTTACCTTGGAGTGTAAGGCTGCGTATCATTCTTTGGGGCCATGCTTCTCAAAGTGTGGTCCCCGGACCAACAGCATCTGTATCACTTGGGAACCTACTGGAAATGCAGAATCTCAGGCCAGCACCCTAGACCTGTTGAATTAGAAACTCTGGGGGCGGAATCCACCTCTCTGTGTTTTCATGAGCTCTGTGGGTGACTGTAGCACCACGACTTTAGGGGTTTGGAGGTCAGACACCTGAGAAGTAGCTGGTGAGGGTAGGATATTTGCAGGTGCTGGACTCCAGAGGCTGTCCTTTGTGGCAGACCCCAAGTGCTCCAGTGGGCACCGAGGTCATGTTACAACTAAATGATCATGTAAAGGTGGTCACTGTGCAGAGGGCACACAAGCAGCCAATTTATTAACCAAGAGCAACTTTCTGTAAATTAAAAATTGTTAGTGATCAGTTTTGAAGCGTTGAGAGCCTATCAGGGACCACATGCCTGGAATGAGCATTTACCATGTGGTGCCTTTAGAAGCTAATATTGATTCTCATTATTTTAAATGATTACAAACATTGCAGGTGTTTTGTAATAATCTCCATTGTCTAATTAGAACATGCGTGAAATGAGCTCATTGTGCCTGCTAACGAATATTGGTTCGAACAGCAGAGCTCTGGTGCAGGGGCAAGACTGGGGCTGTCTGGCCAAGTTGCCGGCCAATGTTACCCCTTTTTCTCCCTAAATTATGAATCCTGGGGATACAGGACATTTTGACAGGCAGTTATTCATGGGGAGGCCTAACCTGATTTGGGCCTGCTCCAGCCTTCAGTGCCTATTCCCATCAGGATATTAGCTGGGAAATGTGGAATGAGTGTCAGCAATTTGGGAGCCCTTTCTTCCTTTCCGAGTCCCCATTTATCTTCTTCCACAATTTCTCCCACATGTTCATTTTAAAGTAGCTCTCTATCTAAATGCTTTAGGATAAATCTGGATTGTGTGTCACTCATTTTAGCTTTCAATTACATGCGGTCTAGTTATAGGCTTTCAGTTGCTTCATGTCTTAGTATTATTTCTCCAGCAGGACTGTAAGCTCCTTGAAGACAAAAGATATGTCCCATCCTTGCTTTGCATTCCCCTTCAAGGACTAGCAAGTGCTTCATAGACACTCAATATAGGATAGCTGTTGTTACCAGTATTATTCCTAGTCATTGTCAAATGAATGAATAACACAACTCAGGGTGCTACTGTGTGCTCAGTGGGTGTTTCATATTTGCATGCATATTTTAATTTACTAATTGAACAAAATTTACTGAGCACTAATTATGGCATGGGGAAAGTGCCTTAGGACACCTAGCTCCTGCCAACTTGAAGCTCCAAATCTCCCTAGGGAGAAGGCAGTTAGAGAGTGGTATGGTAACTATTGAAATTGTTAGAAGAGGGATGGGGCATGGTGGCTCACGCCTGTAATCCCAATACTTTGGGAAGCTGAGGCAGGTGGATCACCTGATGTCAGGAGTTTGAGACCAGCTTGGCCAACATGGTGAAACCCTGTCTCTACTAAAAATTCAGAAAATTAGCTGAGCATGGTGGTGCGTACCTGTAATCCCAGCTACTCCGGAGGATGAGGCAGGAGAATTGCTTGAACCAGGGAGGCGGAGGTTGCAGTGAGCCGAGGTCATGCCATTGCACTGCAGCCTGGACAACAAGAGCGGAACTTCATCTCAAAAAAAAAAAAAAATTGTTAGAAAAGGGTTCTCTGGGAGGCTGGAGAAAGAGCCCTGAATGCAAGCTAGGATGACCAGGAAAGATTGCTGAGCCCAATGCTGAAGGACAAATAGTAAGGGGAGGGGGAAAGGGCACCCCAACAAAAGCATGTAGGAGTTGGGGCTTTGGGGCAGTGAATGTGGCCAGAGCAGGGTATGCGTGGGAGACAGGCAGGGACTGGTATTTGGGGCCAAAGAGGGAAGCAGAAACTGGATTATGGAAGGTTTTGTCTACCATGCAAAGAAGCTAGGATTTTATTCTGAAGGTGAAGGTGAAGGGTCTATATTAAGACAGTTAGATTTGCATTTTTTCAACAATTTAAAAAAGATTTATGTTTCAGAAAAATCACCCTGGTAACAATGTAGAGGTGGAAACATGAGGCAGGGGGCTCATTAATGACCTGTATGAGAAGGGATGAAAGTCTGAGCTCAGGCAGTGAGATGGAGGGAACAATGTAGACATATTTAGGGTGTGAGAGTTTCTATACAATGTGAGAGCATTATATGCTTTTCTTTCCTTGCTTCTGAAAACATTAAAATAGAAAAATCTGGAGAATAATACAAACCCCTAAAACCCCATTACCCAGAATGAACAAATATTTACATTGTATCTTATGTACTTCAGATCTATTTTTATTATAAAAATTAAAAAAAATTACAGGTAAAGTTTCTCCACTTAGTTCCATCCACTACTCCATTGCCAGAGGCAATCTTTGCCAGGAATTGGCATTTATCACAGTAGTCCAGACTTTCCTATGTTAGTCTCATAGTTAAGTGTTCATAAACATTATATAGTACTCACAGAAATGGTTTCTATAGTTTTCTGCAAATTGTTCTACATAGTGTTGATATGTTTAGCTCTAGGGCATCTATTTTTGCCTGCTGTATAGTGTTCTATCAATAAATATACTACATTCCTTTCTTCTAGTAGTAGACATTTAGATTGTTTACAGTTATTAGCTTTTGCAAACATTTCAGTTTTTGCATACATGAATGAGGACCTTTCTAGGATATATACTAGAAATGGAATTTTTAGTCTTAAGGAATACATATTTTCAAATTTATTACATACTGCCGAAGACTTTCTGAAGTGATTGTACCAACTAAAATTCCCACCAATAGTAGACGTTCTCTTTCTCCATGTCTTCTCCAACACTTGCTATTATGGGCCTTATAAATTTAGCCACTCTGATGTGGGTGATTTTTCTTTGCATTTCTTTGATTACCAGAAAGAAAGAGCAACTTTTTATCTGGGTATTGGTCTTGAGGTTCCCTTTTCTGTGAGTTATTTGTTCATATGCTTTGCTCATTTTTCTCTTGGGTTGTTTGTCATTATTTTTCCTAGATTTGTTGGAATTCTTTATTATTCTGGATAACCACTCCTTTCACTGGAAAGGATTATATAATATCTTTCCCAGTGTATCTCTTGTCATTTAACTTTTTGGTATTTTTCTTTTTTTTTTTTTTTTGCCAAAAAGAGGTTTTAACATTTTGATGTTGGCAAATTTATTAATTTGGCTCTCCATAGGTTGTATTTTTTATGCCTTATTAAAAAAAATCTCCTCCTATTTCGGTGTCATAAACATAGTAGGCATTGCCATACAAAAATTAGCCAGGTGTGTTGGCGAGCACCTGTAGTCCTAGCTATTTGGAAGGCTGAGGCAGGATAATTGGTTGAATCCGGGAGGCAGAGGATTGCAGTGAACCGAGATCGCACCACTGCACTCCAGCCTGGGCAACAGAGTCAGACTCTGTCTTAAAAGAAAAAAAAAAAAAAAAGATAGCAGGCATTGCCTTATATTTTCTTCTAATAGTCTTAAAGTTTTTCTTCTGACCATTAGGTCTCTAGTGCAGCAGAATATATTTTTGTGTGTGGTGCAAGAAGTAGGGAATATGATTCTCTTATTTATTTTCTTCCTTTGAAAGCCAATTACCCCACAGTATTTGTTGAACAATCCATCCCTTGCTCACTAACTTACAGTGCTCTTTTCACTATGTTCCCAGCTCCTCTATATGTCCTTATCTCTGGAAGGTCTCTTTCCTGGCTCTTGCTCTGTGTGTTTCCACTGGGTAAGCACTACAAAGAAGCCAACACTTTACCCTGCCCCCATGCCCATGTAGCACCATTGGTGACCTTCTCCTAGTAACTCTAGATAGCTCCAGTTGAGTCTGAGCCCACCATGACCCCTGGTTGAAGAAACCTGGTCTCCTGGCTGGGCTGTTTATTGGCGGGGTTGGGGAGGGGTGTGGGATTTACCCTCCACACTGTCAACAGGCTTTGTGCGGACATCAGGGCACAAAAAGCAACTCCTTGGATTTTCTGCCATCTCAGAAATCACTTTGAGATAAGAGAGATTTGTATTTAACTGAGAGACTGAGTGAGGACATAAGGGGAAAACATCTCAGTGGTTGCAAGCTTTGTGGCACCTGAGACCTAGATGTAAGCAGAGAGCACGGCTATCAGCTGGGCAGGCCCTTGAGGGGCTTGCTGTCATCAGGAAGGCTCTGCAAAGGCACAGAAGTCAGGCTTCATCTTTCTCTAACTTGGGGGAGAGAAGCTGTTTTGCTCCCCTCAAATCTGCATGCAATCTGCTCCTGTCAACACAGTGATCCAAGAGCTTCAGCCATTGAAAGGAGGATGGGATTGGGCTGGGAATTTCTGACTCTTCCTTAAGGTCATGAGCAGGGAGTAAGGATCGATCACATTCCCTGCAAAAGGGGTAAAATTCTAGATTCTTAGGACTAGAAGGACATGCCAGATGATCTTGTCCAACATGGATTTTTATTCTTATAGATGAGGAAACCGGACTGGAGAGAGGCTGAGTAGCTGGTGCAAGTTATAATGCTAAGGAAAGTCAGGGAAAGCACAAGACCCCACGTCTCTGGTTCCCACACACGTTCACTTTTCACTGCAGTGCTCTCTTTGACTGGGGTGTCTTAGAGTCCATTTGGGCTACTAAAACAAAATACCGTAGATTGAGTGGCTTGTAAATGACAGAAATTTATTCATCACAGTTCTGGAGGCTGGAAAGTCCAAGATCAAGGCACCAGCAGATTCTGTGTCTGGTGAGGGCCTGCTTTCTGGTTCATAGCATTTTCTTGCTGTGTCCTCACATGGTGGAAGGGGCAAGGCAGCTCTCCGGGGACTGTTTTATAAGGGCGTAGTCCCATTCATGAGGGTATTACTCTCGTGATCTAACTACCTCCAAAGGCTGGGGTCACATTGGTGATCAGGTTTCAACACATGAATTTTGGGGGAACACAAACATTTAGACCCTGAGAAAAAACTATTTTGAAGAAAAAAAAATCTGCAAACATTTTAAATGTATATCCCTTCCTCTGGTGGCTTGAAGAGGATAAAGGAGTCTAGGCATTTGGGACTAAGGGAGAGACAGCAATTCCAGAGATGTTTGTACCTGGAAATGGGCAATTTCTATATCCTCGGAGATGAGCCTCAGGGGAGGTACAGATTGAAATTCGTAAGGGGATAAAATAAAACTACAGTCCTGAACTTCTGGTTCCTCATAGAAAAAGGCAGTCACAGTGCACTGGGTAGTTTATGAAGGCTGACTTCAGTTTATGATTATATTCCTTAAAAAGGCCATTCATAAACCAGACCTTTAAAAATGAAGTCCTTTATTTTTTCTCAGTGACCTGCACTATTATTTCAAAAGTCTTCTAGCTTCATTTCTGATTGATATTTACTTGTCATTGACTGTTCACACTGTAGCTTTAGGTTCTTTTGTTGCCGTCTAATAGATTTGCCCAAAAGGAAAGCTACTATTAATGAAAATCTGTTTGAAATAGGAAGCATCCATTTGAAATACGAATGATCATCTAATTTACTTATCTCTGTATCTTCAAAAGGTGGAAGCCTCTGTAGACATCTGGAGTTTGGAAGAGAAAATGGCATAGTATCACATCCATTGTATTCCACTGGTCAAAGCAGCCATAGGACCCAAAGCAGCCATAGGATCCAGAGGACACAGACCCTGTCTCTTGATGAGAGAAGTATGAAAGAATATGTGGTTGCCACACTTCCTTTCCCTGTGAAATTCAGAGCAGACATTTGCCCCAGACTGTTGTCCCAGCCTCTCCCATCTAGCCACTCCTAGTCTATTGAAACCAAATCATTCATCTTTGAGAGATGAGATGCCAAAGTCTCACTGCCTCTTTCGCTCCCCATGCAGCTGAATGCTTAGTACTCAGTCCTAAGACAGATACAATCTCGAATGATCATTGGGACAATTTTCTAAAGAATTGTCCCTCAGCTGTTAGAATACTTTTGGATACATGAAGAGTTCTAGGACTAGGTTTCCCTGTTTCTAGAAGAGCTTACATCACCTTTTGGCATCCAGTGTCTTACCATGCCTGAAAGATGTGTGTTTGCTAAACATTCTCTCTTTATTGCAAGTGACTGTTATGGAATAAAAATTCAACAACCAGTAAGAAGGTTTATGTGCTCTCTGAAGGAACAAGGACTAGAAAATCTCTGCAGGGACCAGGCTTTTAATTGAGTAAGACATCAGTGTAAAGTAAGAAAACAGAGGTAGTGGCTACCAAGGGGCTGAGGGAATCTGTTCTCCAGGTTGAGACCTGAGTGGTCAGCACACAAGTCTCAGGGAGTGACACCGAACAAGGTGAGGCAGAGAAACCAGGAGACCCTACCTTGAACCAGGTAAGAAGAAAGAGGCTGCAGCCCCTACGTATGTGTGAACCCTCCCCACCTTTTGAAAATTATCCATTAAGCCAACATTATCTCTTTGCCTGGATCATGACCATAGACTCCTAATTGGTTTCCTCATGTCCTTAACTAAATTCATGTTTTCAAAATAAAATATTTTCACGTTAAATCCACCTTTCTCCCCTGCCAAAGTTTCCAAAACGCTTAGGATGAAAACAAAACCATATAAGGCTGCCTATCTTGTTCCCTTATCTCTCCCTTTGAGGGAGCACAGTGAGAGATGGGAGAACAAGATAGGCAGGAGCTGGCTTGTGCAATAGGCTCTAACCATATTGACTTTTTTTTTTTTTAATCAGGCCTCATATGAACCCATTTCTTTCAGTCATAGAGTCTTTTTTGTTTTTGTTTTTGTTTTCTCCTGAGACAGAATCTCACTCTATTACCCAGGCGGGAGTGCAGTGGCACAATCCTGGCTCACTGCCACCTCCACCTCAAACTGGGTTCAAGTGATCCTCCCACCTCAGCCTGCCAAGTAGCTGGGATTATAGGCACGTACCACTATGCCTGGCTAATTTTTGTATTTTTTAGTAGAGACTGGGTTTTGCCATGTTGGCCAGGCTGGTCTTGAACTGCTGGCCTGAAGTGATCCACCCACCTTGGCCTCCCAAAGTGCTGGGATTACAGGCATTAGCCACCACGCCCTGCCAACAGAGCCTTTACATACGCTGTTCCCTCTACCTAGAATGCTTTTCCTTTTCTCCTTTTCTGAGATTTTACGGATACGTCATTTATCAATCTTTAATACATGATTGGTTAGGAGAGTTGAGGCATTCAGAGAATCATATAACCGTAATAGGAAAAGGGCTAGCTCCAGCTGCTTCCAGCACTAGGCAACAGTTGAGCTCCTTCATTCATTGTAGCATTCAGGTTTGTTCCATTTGTGGTGGAAGTTGGCTAAGTCTGAGGGCAACTTTAAACTTTCCTTTAAAGGCAGCCTCAGAGACAGGTGGCGAAAAATCTTAACTTAGTTCTGGAGAATGTTTGATGAGAGAGGAGAATTTTACAACTGTGATTGCAAAGGGAAAGGCCAATTGTTGACACAGAAATTCTCACCCACTTTGCCTTCATGGGCTTGGTTGGCCCTCTCTCTTCTCTGATGATCTTACAAGCCTTAAAAAATCTCTGGATCCTAACTTTCTGGATATTACGTAGATGTGATTTATCCAGGGTCACCCAGTGAGTTAATAAGAGAGATGGGACTAGAATCCAAGCCTCTTGACAACTAGTCCAGCTTGCCCTTATTCTCCTGATGAGGAATATGGGCAAGTCAGGAATAGATATGAGATATTTCAATTCTATGCCTCACCTCAAACATCCACAAGGAACCAAATATACATTACTTTCCTCAATCCTAGAAAGGAACAAACTTGGGACTCCTCCCAGGTCTTCAGTGACTCCCATACCCCTTTAGTCCTTGCTTCCACCTTTGAATTCTCTGCTTTTGCATTCACCCAGTCTCCCTCCAAGTGGAAACTCATTCCTCGGGGTAATCAATGTCCCTCTCAGCCAGAACCCCGTTACCAGGGAAACCATTCCAGGCAGCCGACTTTGACTCATTGAGATGCAGCTGCAGAACCCAGGGCCTGTGTAAGGGCAACTGCTATCAGAGTGGGCAGTTTTTGGCAACTCTGGAGTGTATTGTACCAAATGGGACATAGTAATTATGTATTTGTGGCTTTCATTATATGCCAGTTTAATTGTCACAAATTCATTGTTGTTTCTAAGTTTTTATTTTATTTTTTTCTGGACTACTCAGCAAAAAAGGGAAATTGGTGCCATAGGGCAGGTGTCTTTCTGGAAGAGACACTCACTTGGATGAAAAAATAAATGCAGTGACTTAACGTCATTTGATTGGTCAGGAAATTTTCCCTATATGGCAGGGGAACAACCCTGACATGGGTGCCTCTGGGCCCTCACCAAGGGCCTAGAGCTGTGTCAATATGAAAATCGACAATAGAAGGTGAATTGGGTTTGACATGATGGGCTGTCATCCCCCTTGAAGACAGGGGTGTATTAGTCAGTTTTCATGCTGCTGATAAAGACATACCTGCGACTTGGCAGTTTACAAAGGAAAGAGATTTAATGAAGAACTCGTGGTTTCACGTGGCTAAGGAAGCCTCACAATCATGGGGGAAGACAAGGAGGAGCAAGTCACATCTTATGTGGATGGCAGCAGGCAGAGAGAGAGAACTTGTGCGGGCAAACTCCCTTTTTATTTTTAAACCATCGGATCTCACGAAACTCATTCACTATCAAGAGAACAGCGCAGGAAAGGCCCGCCGCCATAAATCAGTCACCTCCCACCAGGTTCTTCCCACCACATGTGGGAATTGTGGGAGTTACAATTCTAGATGAGATTTGGATGGGGACACAGAGCCATATCATATCAAGGGATCTTAAAAAGACATGGAGGTCATGGTCCCTTTTCTTTTTAGGCTTTGTTTCCCTACTGGTGAATTTCTGGTTGTGGGACTATAGGTTTCTGAAGTTGGACGTTTTTTCTAAAATCACGTCTTTGCCCTGTCCCTTGCCCATGACAGCTTGGAAGCATGTCTTCTCTTATTTTAAGCATAGCCAATACAGAAGGCCTCAATATAGGCATGGAATAGTTAAGCTAGGTGATTTTAATCATTTCACCAGGAAGAATTCTGTTTTTACCAAAGGGCTTAACATTGGATTCACTAAGATAGCCAGCTCTTCACATGAATCTATGATATGGTGAATATGGTCATCTTAAATGCAATTTTTCTGGAAGTTTGTCAATTGTATGTTAACAATATGTTAACAACAGCAATAATAATAGCAATAGCTAACTTAGATTGAGTGTGTATGATATGACAGCATCCTACATCATCTTCTTCAGTCTTAGAGCAAGGTATGGTTGCACTACATCTCATATATCCCATAGAAAGGCTGCAGAGAGAGAGAGTCTCTGCTCAGTTCTCAAGTCAGGTGAGTTGAGGGGGTTGAGAATATAGGACAGAAAACATGAGTTCCAGTCCTGGGCACTACTCTTACTGGTTTTTGGGTCCTGGAGCCCATTGCTTAAGCTCTTTGAACCTTGGTTTCATTTTGGAAAAAGAGAGACAGAAAGTCAAAAGTGTTTTGTGGAGTGCTGTAGGGGTGGTGGTAATGAGGATGGTAGCTAGGCTAACATTTACTGAGTGTTTACCATGTACTAAGTGTGGTTGTAAGTACCATGTGTGGATTATCTCATTTAATCATCACAGTAATTCCATGGTACTTTATTAGCTCAATTTTCCTGATAGGAAAGTGAGGCACAGAGTGGTTACACAGCAACAAAGTTGTGGAACCAGGATTCTAACCCATGAGATTTACCTACAAAGCATTCCATGTCTCTCTGTTGCTGATTGCATCAGAATTAATAACTTTAGTCCTTGCTGCTATTCTGAGCGGGCTGGTATAACCGCTTGCTTCAAGAACACTAAAAAGAGATTGGCTTCTCCAATGCATGTTGAGTCTAAGATTCCTGGGGGGATGTCTCATTTTTCCTGTCTTTACTACGTCAGCTCATCTTAGTGGCTGCATTTGTGGCTAAGAACGTTTGGGTAGCTACGCATCCAGCTGGTTGCTGCCCAGCTAGGATGCTTGGATGATCATCCTCATTTGATCCTGTCTCTTGGGATAAATCTCAGGCTTTGGGCTTGGTGACAGTCAGATTCTCCTGCCTTAACTGAGCATTCTGTTCAAAGATCACTGTGGCTTGGAAGGACCTTGTGTCATGCATTATTCAGAAGGGTAGACAAGCTCTGGGCCAGTGCCCAGACCTTGGAAGAATGCATCTGGTAGAGCCAAGAAAATTCAGGAAGGGGCCTCGCAGGAATTTAGCATGGTCTCCATTGCTCAAGCCATCTCTTATTTTTGGTTTGTATGGTAATACATGTATTTATTATAGGAAGAGATTTACATTCTTTTCCTTTATACTAATAACCTAAGCCAGTTTATGGGCATAGGTAGGTGGAGAAATGTAATTCATTACTGTGTAAGTGGGTCTACAGCCCATTTAGTAGGGCCATTATATATTTTTTTCCAGATAGAATTTATTTAAAGAAAATGATTTTCAAAGCTGATATTAAGTCAGATTCTGTGACAAGTACGCAGTGGTTCTCAACCTTGGCTGCACATTGGAATCAATGGGGAGCTTTAAAAAATTCTGATGTATGGTTCTCAGCCCCCCAGAGAGTCTGGTTTTAATTGGTCTCAGGTGTGGCCTGGGCAGTGGACGTCTTAAAGGCTCTCCAGGTGATTCTAATGTACAGCCAGGCAGGGCAGGCTTTGTGGATAAGCAACTGTGCAGTCACAGAGGGCCCCGTGCTCAGAAGGGCCCCATACTTGGCTTAATGCTCTGCCATTGGCTTCTTAAAATTCTTAATAATTTTCCAACAAAGGATTACATATTTTCCCTTTGTGCTGAGTCCTGTACATTATGAAGACAGTTCTGCAGCTAGAGTTGAGCTACTGTATTAGAACAACATCCCCATATAAGAAACACTCCTTGCATGCCAGCTGATGGTCCTCTTAGGAGCAACATGTCAATCAAGCAAAGCCCAGGAGGGTGTGGACGATGCCTTGATAATATTGTACCCTGCGGTACTTACTTTTCAAGAGACTTTGAAAAAACTGTTCCTAAGATAGTTGTTAACCTTGCTCTGAAGTACTGGTTGGGAAATACACACTTGTACTGCTAGACACAGTGCCAAGGGCCTGGTGTGAGTCTGTCTATCTAGGCGGGTCTCTCTTTCCGTGGAGGTGTTGGCAGGTGGACTCGCTGTGGTTGCCCTGCACCCTCCTGCCTTCTCCAGAACCTTATTCTGTCATCAATATCCCCCTGTCTCTCTTGAATTTTTAATCTCTCCCTTTCTTCTGGCACTTTTCCCTCACCTAAAAATAACTTTTCTCAAAGTACTATACCCTTCACCAATAAAGTTTTAGGAACAGGAGCTGCCCCTCACCAACTCCATGTCGTCATAACCATTCCTTAACTCTTTGCAGCTTAGCTCGCAACACCCCAGCTTCCTGAAAGGGCTTTCTTCAAGGCTTCTAATTCCCTCCTGATTGTGAAAATTCCTTATCTCAGACCCCATCCTGAGCTTCTCTAGGGAACTTGACAGTGTCAAATGACTTTTCCACCTTCTTAAAGATGCAAGTTCATGGGCCCCATCCAGGCTACTGAATTAGACCGTCTAGGGGTCGGGGTCCTTTCACTGTTTAAAAAAAAATCTATTCCAGTGATTCTTAGGCATACAAATATTTGAGACCACTGCTTTATATATGTTTATTGAATAAATTGCACCCTAGCACTTGTAAGACTTGCTTTTAGTTTTTAACATAAGGTGTTTGCTTTGTGTCTAAGTTATGCACTACTGATAGGTGGTTAAGAGTAATGATTAAAAGCATGAGCTCTGGAGCCACTCTGCCTAAATTGGAATTCCAGCTCTGTCATTTACTACCCATGTAGCCCTGGGTGCCTAGTTTCTTTATCTCCACAATGGGATAGTAATAGCGCCTACCCCACAAGGTTATGCTAGATTTGGGTAAGTTAATACACGTAAGGTACTTAGAACAATGCCTGCACATAGTAAGGGTTCAAGAAAAATTAGCTTTTAAATTGTATATGTATGCTTTTTAAAATATATTTACATTTAAATTTTCTTTCTATTCTATTCAAAGCTAAAGTTAAGAAGATCAGCAGAGGAACTCCAAATCTGATGGATTTCTATTTTTGGCAGCTCTCCATGTAGTTAATTGCTCCTGATGCAGTTACTTGGGAAAGTTGTCTTTTCCCTCTGAGTTTAAAGCCATAAACCTCAACCACTTTTTCCTCAGGTACCCCAATCCACTGAGGTATATGTCATCCTCCCAACAGTGATGATGATTTCTCACCCCAGTGGTTCTCAGCTGATGCTCCTCAGCCAACTTGGATTCACTGATTTATGATCATCTATGATATTACAGAGAGCCTGGTAGTGTTGGGTTAATTTTAACATGGCCAATAAGAAAGCATTCAAAGCTGGAGAATGAATAACTGTAACTGAATCTTAGCCCCTTCTGAACTAACCACTTTAGGATCACTGGGCTGTTACAAAAAATACCAGTAGCATCCAGGTCCCACCCCAGATCAATGAAATAAAAATCTCTGGGCATGGGTCCTGATACAGGTATATATCAAAAGCTTCCTGAATGATTCTAAAGTGCAATCAGAGTTGACAGTCATTGATGTAGAGTAAGACATAAGATTCCATATTGGTAAGGAAGGAATGGGACTAAGTTTCTTGGGAAAAGGAACAAGCCCTGTATCTGTTGACCAGTACAACTTGCTTAGATAAAGTGGCCCAAATATATTGAAAGAGAATAGTCTGCAAGGGGCCAAGAGGGAGATGCGGATGAAATGGATGATTTAATGGGTCATCTCTCCTGTAGTTAATTTCTCTAGATCTCTTGTGCTATATTGATTTTGTAAATAGCTATTGTCACATCTGCCCCTTCTGCCTGTGGGAACTAGTGGGTCTTAAAAAATTGAATTGGGTGAGAGTGTAGATTAATCAATACCAAGATTTATTGACTCGGGACATTTATATTAACTGTTGTGAAGTCAAGAATAATTTGAACCTTTTCAATACTTCATTAAGTGGCATAGTGTATTATCTATGGTGTATTTTGAAAGTATCCTTCCTGGATTTGGTACAGCTCTCACCTCGACTTCCTAAAACGGCTCCCTTTATTTGTCAAGCTATTAGGATTTATATTATAATAGGAATCACATCAAGGTACTTTTCAAAGGCTAAGTAAAAATCATAAGAAGAAACTAGGCCGGGCGCGGTGGCTCACGCCTGTAATCCCAGCACTTTGGGAGGCCGAGGCGGGTGGATCATGAGGTCAGGAGATCGAGACCATCCTGGCTAACAAGGTGAAACCCCGTCTCTACTAAAAATACAAAAAATTAGCCGGGCGCGGTGGCGGGCGCCTGTAGTCCCAGCTACTCGGGAGGCTGAGGCAGGAGAATGGCGTGAACCCGGGAAGCGGAGCTTGCAGTGAGCCGAGATTGCGCCACTGCAGTCCGCAGTCCGGCCTGGGCGACAGAGCGAGACTCCGTCTCAAAAAAAAAAAAAAAAAAAAAAAAAAAAAAAAAAAAAAAAAAAAAAAAAAAAAGAAGAAACTATAGTTTCTGCTTGCTCATAACTTCTTTCAGATTCCTCCTTTTGAAACACATTTTTTTTTTTCAACTGGGGTTAGGTTTTCAGTGAGATCAAATTCAGGCATGGGAACTAGAGATACGCATATCTTAAAATTTTGTTCTTTGTGGAATATTTGCCTATTGCACTTTAAAAAGTCAACAACTACTTTGTTTAATTAAATAATTAATGCCTCTCCTTTTTACAAGAAGGAGTTACATCATCTTTTTCCAAAGGGCATAAATTAGAACACTTCAGACACAACCTGTTCTTAACAGGGATGTTTTTCATATCTATTAAGAAGGAAATAATTTTGAGTTGTATAGTCATGGTGAGAAAGATATATCAATAATTATTAACTTATCCTATCTCTTTTGGTGCTCTTATAAAAAATTGCATAAATCTATAAGAATTTGGTTTTGTTTTAAGGATATGGTTCATGGCTATCAGCTAGATCCAAGCTCACTGTTTTCCCTAGGAACAGTACACATGACTTTGGACTTGGTAAGCAGCTTTTAAGACCCTCTAAAATGATGAAAAGATGCTATATTCACATGAAGGATTGTGGTAGTGGGGGATACTGTTGAGGGACACGTTTTGGTTGTTTCTTCAAGAGCAGAGTACCACAATATAAGGTGTGGAGAGCCAGGTTGCTTAGGCATGGCTTGAGTCCATAGGTATTGCATGAGAAAAGTTAGATTGGTTCTAATGATTTGCACCAAGTGAGTCCTCTTTGTTGATAAAGAAGTAAGATCCTATTGTCAATCTGCCAGGCCTCCTGTCTTCCTCTTTGCCCTTCACCCACCTCATTTAGGGAATCCTTGAGTCGGGAAGGTCATTCCTGCTGCAGGCTGCCAGCTGCCTACCTGCCCTTCTTCCAGCCTGGCCCGGTTTGTTGCTTTGTTTTCACTGCTCATCATCTGTGACTTCTTGGCAAAGTCTTGCAGGGCGTGAGCATCCACTCTGCATGGCCCGTCATGAAGCACTCCTCTAACCTCTGATGTAGGTAAGCACTTGCCAAGCCTAGCTCTTAAGTACTTGGCAAATGATAGCTATGCCTCATTTATTTCCTTTTAAAGATGGGCTAAGCAAGGGCAAAAAGAGTGATTAATGATTGTGAAGAAGAGAACTTTTTATTGAGAACCTATGACATGCTAACTCCTGGATTCTATCAGGTATAGCTGCTGTTTCATTAAATTATCATAAAGATGACACAAAGTAGCTATTATTATCCCCACTTTAGTTATGATAAGACTGAGGCACATACAGGTTGATTAAATTACTCATACAGTTAGTCAATGTCAGAACCTCAACTTGAACTCAGCCCTGACTTCCAAACCCATTGCAGTGCTCCACTCAGGTCTTTCCTATTCGGCCCATGATAAGGTGCTATCTGGCTGGAGAATCTGCTGTGTGTTCTGTCCTCTGAGTGCCTAGGGAGGCTTGCTCTTCCATGCATCCACTGTGAACTTACCTTCTCAAGGCTCCTGATTAAGGGCATACGATTCTGAAATCATCTAGGGCTTCTCTTATCCTGTGTTGTCCTAAGCTGCCCTCATGATTTTCCTGGAGGATAAAATGCTCATCAGATAAAATGCTTATTGTTTTTGAGAACCTCCCTTCTCAAATTCTTGTGAAGATTTCCTCTATGGAGCCCTCATGTGGCCCACTCAAGCCAGGGCTCTCAGGAGCCTCTTCTCCCACAACACTTTATTCTTTCTGAAATACAAGGACTATGTTGACTTCACCAAAGGGATAGTCAGGTCGCACCTGGATATCATAACTTGTAGCCCTGGGGCCTTGTCACCAGTCATACTGCCTGCCAGTCACCATCTTTAGCATGTGTATGTACTTGAGTGGATAAGATAGGCTTTTATTTCTTTTATGATTTGCCTCAGGACAAATCAAAGAGAGCTTCACTAATAACTTGTAATGTTACTCGGAAAAGAGACCAGGGCTTCTAGCCCATGTAAAGAAGTAGAACTCTGGCCTTGGGATAGGTAAGGTAGGAGGCTACAGTGGGAGAGAGTTTAAGCAGAGTGACATCAGCCATTTTACTGTATGCATAGCTGGGAGGCAGATCAAGGACTTCAAACTTCAAGAGTAATGGAACTTGCTGTCCAAAGCACCTGCTGAACAACAGTTTCAAAAACAAGGCGTGCCTATTGCAGGGTTCCTAGGTGCTAAAACTTCCACTTATTTTATAATGAAAAAGAAAAATTTTAAGATGAATATATTTTTACCTATTTTTATATGTGGATTGACACTGGCATTTTCAAATAATCTGATGTCAGATGTATACATGTGTCAGATGGATACATGTGTCATACGTATCCTGAAAGGAGGGCATGTTTGATGTCAGTACTTTCATATGTTCATTGGCCTTCAGTGAACTGGCACTCGTCACGTTTTAGTTGTGCCTAGGTAAATGGATTTATGTGTTAGGTGATCTAATTTTCATGAAACAACATCCACAAAATAGACAGGTGTCTTATACAAACTCCCAAAGAAACTGTGGGTGGAGGAGAAACCAGCACTGTATGAGAGCAACAATGAAGTGGCCGAGCTGTTACTTCTCCTGATTTGAGTTCTTTGTCCAGCCACATTCCACGGTGAAAACACTAAAGGTACGTTCAGAACCGATACAAACTCATCCACCACAAATATCAAGAAGACCATTTGAAATATAAATTTGTTTTCACTATTGTTAATGATTAACCTTTCCCTAAGTTCCACTGTACCTGGAAATGTTGCCTAGTAATGCAATGGAACCAACAGGATTAGCAAGAAATTAAAAAAAATTAATCTACATCTCATTCTTTTTACATTTTATATTTTGATGTAGGTTTTATAGTTAATGTAATGTTGCAATAGATCATGTACATGATTTATAAATTTATATATATATGTTATTTGAGCAGGCTCTGTATATTTTTTTTGGAATAGGTCATATATATATATAATATACACAAACAATTTTTAACTGATGTGGATGTGCATTAGTTGGGGAAGACCAATTGCTTTAATAAATGACACCAAGATCTACTGGTTTAACAAAACAAAGGTTTATTTGTTGCTCACATCTTGACCCAGTACAGGTCAGCTGAGCAGAGTAAGGCTTTACTCCATGCAGACATTCAGATCCTAGATTCTTTCATCTACTGTCTCTGTCATGCCTCCAGCTGACAAATGAAAAAACAGAATGTGGAAGATAAGGTTTTGCAGGCCAGATCTGGAAGTAGCTATATCACTTCTGCTCATATTCTATTGGCTAGAACTCAGTCATGAGCTCATTCTCAACTGCAGGGAAAGCTGGGACATGTTGACCGGCTATGAGTCCAGTAGGTAAAGAAAAACTGTTTGGAGAACAATTTGCCAGTCTTGATCAGAGTGGAAGATGAAAAAAATGTGGAGACTAATTTGCTCATATGAGGTTGAAAACTCAAGGATAGAATATTGTCGTTAGAATTTGATGTACTGAAGTTTGTTCATAAATCTAACAAATGTTTACTGAGTATCTATTATATGCCAGGCACTCTTCTTGGCTCTGGAGATGTAGCAGTGAACAAAACAGATACAAATTTCTACCAAGAATCTTATGTTTGAGAGGGTACCCCGAATGAAAGAGGAGCAACCAAGAGTGGAGAAAAGCGTAAAATATAATGTTCGGGAAAGTTGCTTTGATTTGAACCAAGTGGCTTAAAACTATGAACTCAGACAGATCTGGCTTTATATACTGGTTTTGATAGTCACCTAATTGCTGTGTGATCTTTTAGCCAGTTATCTAACCTCTCAAGCCTCAGTTTCTTCCTCTGTAAATGGGGATAATGATAGTGCTTATCACATAAGGATGTTTTGAGAATTAAGTAAAGAGATTAAACATAAAGTACTTAGTACAGTACCCTAACACAGACTCAGCTCTCAGTAAAAGCTAGCTATTATAATACCACCAATAAATAGTAACAATTATTAAGAAAGATGATTCCATTTCCCATGCAGGTTACCTGGGCTAATGGTGTGTCCAACTGAGGTAGCTCTGAGAGAGCTTTCTGTCTCTGTCTCTTTTGGCCGCCCAGATGGTTATCAGGTCATTATTGTGCTTGATATTTAATTTTTTAATTAAAGTGCACATTTAATAAAAAATTTGTGTTTAAAATTAGTGCCCATCTGCTGAAAATATTAGAACTTATAGAAAAACATAAAAGAAGTAATTTCCCATAATTCCACTATTCAGACACAATGACTTTTAGCATGTTGGCTGTATTAGTTTGCTTTCATGCTGCTGATAAAGACATATCCATAAGACTGGGAAGAAAAAGAGTCTTATGGCTGGGGAGGCCTCACAATTACGGTGGAAGGCAAAGAGGAGCAAGTCACATCTTACATGGATGGTGGCAGGCAAAGAGAGAGAGCTTGTGCAGGGAAACTCCCATTCTTAAAACTAATAGATCTTGTGAGACTTATTCACTATCATGAGAACAGCATGGAAAAGACCCACCTCCATGATTCAATTACCTCCCACTGGGTTCCTCCCATAACAGGTGGGAATTGTGAGAGTTACAATTCAATATGAGATCTGGGCGTGGACACAGCCAAGCCATATCATTGGTGTATTTCCTTACTGTCTTTAATCTGCATAGGCTCAAGAGTGAGCTCCTCAGCGTGGCACCAGCTCTTCAGGGATGACAATCAATGTCGTCTTTTGCCCCTTCAGAGGCCTTTAGTGAAGAGGTTCTCTGTAGCAATAAGGGCAGCTCTATAATCAATCCAATAGACTCATTGCCCACTCTCTGATTCTCATTCCTGATGCTCTCTGATTATACAATTTCAGCTACTTTATTTTAAATGTGCTGGAAACTTCTGTTCTCTGAATACTAACTAGGGTTTTTCTGCTGGTTCTGTGCTTCTGGGCAATTGGTGGAACCAGGTGCACTCATAAAAATGTGCATCTCTCAAAAAACAGAGGTATAGTTTTCTGGCTTTTTCTTGCTTAGTCTGTGGTTGTCTAAAACTTGCACTGGGCTGTGGGACTAGGTATGAAAGGAGAAAAATAACACCACCAAGAAAACCTGCATTGTCCCTTGGAAGTTACTAATTTCCATGAGCTAAATTAAAAAATCAATCAATCAATTAATCAATCTTCATCTTTTGAGGAATGAAGCAGCCCAATACTTAACAGTGGTCTGATAGTGACCTTATTCTCATCCTCCAGTAATACTGATTATATGCTTACAATTCACAACCAACCAGCATTTATTTGCATGTCACCTACTCTGCTGACCCTGTGTGTGAGGTCTTTCTCATGTATGTGCCATTATCTCCTAAGACAAACAGAGACCACAGGATAGAGGATTTTGTTCCCTTGGAATCAAACCTGCCTTTGGGAAGGACTTTTTGGGAGAGAGATTTTAAGAAAAGTTTTGGAGAAAGAAAGAAAAGAATAAGCTGGCAACTGTGCCTTGGGAGCTCCTTGGCATTTTTCTGAATCTGATTCTGATTTCATTTAGATTTCCCCTATCTGAGCTGAAGTTTACTTTTGCTTCTCAAAGGCTTGCTTCCAGGGTCTGGATAATGCAAATTGATAATGTAAACAAAGCTGTGGGAGAAAGATGGGTACTTATTGTAATACTTTAAAGACAAATATTTCCTTCATTTCTATCACTAACTAGGTTTTCAACAAAAGTCTGGGGGATGCCTTTAAAAGGCCTGGTAATTGCTTATTGCTTACAAACAATTCATATGCTAATTGAAAGCTGCTCCTATCTATTCATTGAAGCCCTTACTTCAAAAATTTTACTAATGCTTTGGCAGTTTTAGCAACGGGAAAGTAAGAAAACTACCGTTTAAAATGCCATTATTTAGTCTTTTTACTAAATTAGGCTGGCCTTCCTTATCCCCTATCCCATTAAGCTTGCTTGAAGATTTTATAATTGAACATGCAAAGTGAAACATGTTTTACACAGAGAAAAATTCAAGAGCATTTAAAAACAATGTAGAAAGTAACTGCAGTTACTGAGGTATGGAGCGTGGAAATAAATTTTACTTGCAGGCGCAACACCAGATTGTGGCCAGGGTTGTCTGGGGTTAAACGTGGGTGCCCTGGTGGGATTTTATTTCTATCATGTACATGTTTTATAAAATGGGATGTAAAAAATTGGAGATGGCCGGGCACAGCGGCTTACGCCTGTAATCCCAGCACTTTGGGAGGCCGAGGTGGGAGTTCGAGAACAGCCTGGCCAACATGGTGAAACCCCGTCTCTACTAAAAATACAAAAAAAATTAGCCAGGCACTGTGGCGAGCACCAGTAATTCCAGCTACTCAAGAGGCTGAGGAAGGAGAATCACTTGAATCCAGGAGGTGGAGGTTGCAGTGAGCTGAGATCACACCATTGCACTCCAGCCTGGGTGACAAGAGCAAAGATCCATCTCAAAGAACAACAACAACAAAAACTGGAGATGTAAAAATTCCATGGGTGTGGCCACATGCTATGGATTTAGACAATATTAAACTGTTATGAATTCTTAAGTCTGTAAGAATGGATTTATGAGGTTTTAAGGGCTCCTAAGAAAGACTTACAATATGGTCATGAGAGGTCACATCCTGACCACTAGAACTCCTAGTTTAGCTGAGAGGCAGGGTTGCCGAGTGAACACCATTTGTCTGTGTTCTACAAATTATTTCTTACCTAGGGTTACTCACTGGTCTTCTGGGCTGGACCAGCTCCACAGATGAATGGGAATACTCACTGAACTAGGAATCAGAGAATCATAGCTCCAGTTTTGTTTCTGTAGGTTCTTGGGTTTCTGGATTAATCGCTTAATATGGGCATCTAAATTTATCTACCTGTGAAATGAAATTGCTAAGGTTTACTCTATGAACCTCAGAAGGATTTTAAGCATCAGTCTTCATCTCCATTTTATAAATGAGAAAAATAAGGCTCAGAGAGATTAAATCATATATCCAATGCAAGTGGTGGAAATACCAGATGCAGTAGTGCTTTGCCAATAAAGGTTTTTGCAAAAAAAAAAAAAGATGCTATTACTATATATGTGAAGACAGCCTTCAGAATTCCAGGTATCCTAGACTTCTTTGCATGTGGTCCTATTTCCTACTTTTGGGGATTTGTTTCTTCCCAAGTGCCTCGTGTCCAATTGCTGTTCCCATCTTTTTCCCTCATCCCATGCTCTTACCTACCTTCTCTTGGATGTGCTGCTTTGGAAAGTTTTTGGTGTTTCTAATCATGTTAATGAACTTATTCTGTGTGTTCCTTCAGTATGTATGCTCCTGGCCTCCTCTTTGTTTTTCTGACACTTGTTTAAATGGAATAGTGTATTAACCACCCTAGGTGATGTGTTTTAACAGTTACTTATTGGAAAGACTGCTTTGATCCAAGGTCTAAGACAGAGCTGTTTCTGTTTGGGAAGTCAAGGTTACATTGAGTATAGTCAGTTTATAAGCCGGTGTAGCTTCTGGTAGAGAAGAGGGTCTCACTTTGCTGCAGGGCTTAATTAAATGTTATTAATGATGTAATGAGACTGGGTCAAAGAAGAAGAATGTGTAAGCAAAAGCCAAAGACACTGTGGAAAAAGTGAAACTCAATAATCCCAAGTGGCAAATTTTAAGATCAGCTGGAGAGGGATTCTATATACTCATTAGCCTGGTTAAAAAAAAAAAAAAAAAAAAGATTAACCTTATTTGTCTGCTCAAGTTAAATATATTACCAAGAATGGCAAATTAGGGTATTTGAGGTTCGTCTTTTTCCCTGGTCACTGCTCATTTATCACCAATCCAGCCAATGCCACTTACTGAAGATCTGTCATAGTCATTCCCTCCTTTCCAGCCACAATGCCAAGGCTGAGATCATGCCACTATCCTATCTCCCCTTGTCTCCTCACACATTTCCTTGTCCCCAGTCCATGCTTACTCCAATCATTCCAACGTAGTGATCTGGAACCCAAACCCAGCTTTCTGGCCTCAACTCTTGAAATCCACCCAATGTTGCCCATGCACCAGCCACACAGAATTTCCCAATTTTACTGAGACACTTTTTTTTTTTTTTTGAGTGCTGCATACTGTTTCCTCTTGAGATGTCCTTTGGCCTCTGTTTGGTAGATGCCTCTTCATCCTTCCAGATATTGCTCAAATATTAGTTACTTCTTTAGGATACTTTCCTTGAAATAGTTGAAGAATTCTTTAAACTTTTACTTCATTTGTGATAGCACTTATATAAGGTTGTATCATTATTTGTTTTATTTGTCTTTACTCATCTCTAGACTCTAAATCTTTCCTAGTACACATCATAATGCCTACTAAAAAGCCAGTGTCTCTTGACTGAATGAATACATGAACATGTGAATGAATGGTGAACAATGTCAATTTTATACCACTCTAATACTTTGAGCAATGCCAATTATATTGTTATTGCCATACTAAATTTAAAGTCTGTGATCTTTACATATAAGAAGAGGAAGGTAATGGGAAGGGTGAAAATCACTGGTCTAACTTGTTTAAGTATGGATGTCTAAGATTGAACTTCACTGTAAGCTTTGGAAACAATGCTTACAAGCCTGACAATAATGGTCTTGATGGATGAAGCTGTTTCTACATTGTGTGGTAAGGGCATTAGTCAATGAAAGAATTAATTCATCAAACTACAGAGTACCTGTGTGATACTAGTGTGAATACAAAAAAGTAGATTAACCTGATTTTCCAAGAGCTTATATGTATCTGGGAAGCAATATTTACCAAAATGATGAATACTTGTGATATGGGTAGGAGGCAGGGAAATACTGGGTAGAAGAGGACAGTTCCCCAGCCAAGGCCCCACTCTCAAACCTGGAAACTGCCGCCCTAAATGAGAACAGTTATCCCCGTTTTCCTTCCCAAATGCTACCTTTTTGGCCTGCCCTGCCTCCTATCCTGTGCCCCTATAAACCCCAGACCTCAGCTGGCAAAGAGGCAAGTGGCTGAACGTAGAGAGGAGAAGAAGCAACTGGGTGTCAGATACTTCAGATAGACGTGGCTTAGCTTCAGATGGCACAACTTCGGAGAGGAGCTCAGCAGTCTCTGGCTGGGCTTCCAGGAAAGATTACTTTCTTCCTGCTCCATCCCCCTTCCACCTCCCCTTCTGCTGAGAGCCACTTCCACTGCTTAATAAAATCCTCTGTTTTCATCACCTTTGAGACCGTTTGTGTGACCTGATTCTTCCTGGACACTGGACAAGAATTCAGGATGCCCTGGATGTGGGAACCCAAAAAGGCTGTCACACTGACTCTTCACTGAGCTGTTTAACACTTAAGCTGTCCATGGACAGCAAAGCTAAAAGAGCATTAGTTGTAACACACCCCTAGATTGCTGTGGGGCCAGAGCCCAAAAGTGCTCACCCTGGCCCCGACACCCACTCGCCTGTGTGCTCCATCCCATGTGGGGTTGAATCCAGAGGGTTTGAGCAAGTGGTGTTTGTCCCTGCTGTAGCGAAGTGGCGAGACGGGCCAAGAGCCAGTGCACTCCAGTTCCTGGCCATGAAAGGATCAAGGGAACTATTCTGTCTCATTTGTATAGTGATAAGTATGCAGTAGGTATTGTTCTAAGCCATAATTTATGTTAACACTTTTTATCTTCATTGAAACCATAGAAGACAGGCACTAGTATTATCCCCATTTTACAGAACACAGAGGCACAGTGAGTGACTTGTCTACAAGTCATGGGTACCAATGACTAGACATTCTGGCTTCAAAGTCTATCCTCTTAATATTGTACACACAATGACAGAATTACAGTCTACAGAATTGCAGAACAGTATGAGAGAGTTTGTCTTAGAAAAAAGCATATTTATTTTCTTTCTTTTTTTTTAAAACAAGGATATCCACATTTTATTGTTTTCCTTTTATCTGATTCTGAAAAAAAAATTTTTACCAGAACTATGTATTTTTTCCTGTGGATATAATCATCAGGCTAATCCCTACGATGACTAAAAGTTGTGGTGGTTGCATGGTCACCAACTTCTCTCTTTTTTCTTTTCTTTTCTTTTTTTTTTTAATTTTATTATTATTATACTTTAAGTTTTAGGGTACATGCTTGTTTGTTTGTCTGATGGAGACTTGCTCTGTTGCCCAGGCTGGAGTGCAGTTCACTGCAGCCTCTGCCTCCTGGGTTCAAGCAATTCTCCTGCCTCAGCCTCCTGAGTAGCTGGGATCACAGGCACCCACCACCATGCCTGGCTAATTTTTTTGTATTTTTAGTAGAGATAGGGTTTCACCATGTTGGCCAGGCTGGTCTCCCACTCCTGACCTCAAGTGATCCACCTACCTTGGTTTCCCAAAGTGCTAGGATTACAGACATAAGCCACTGCACCTGGCTGAAAAGCATATTTTCTGAGTTAGAACTTCCTGGATTTAATTTCTGACTCCATCACTTGCAACATATTGGTGCTGTGCATGTTATTAGAATGATTTGAGGTCATCTAAATATTAAGGATAAGCTAAGGTATGTTGAAAACATCATGCAGAGTTACACATAGTAGGGTTCAAATATTCATTTCTAACTTTTCTTTCATTAAAGAGTTCCTCTTCCTCTTGAATAAAATTAAGTAAAATAAGTATGCTATAAAAAATAAAAGGCAATGTATCATAACACGGTAGACATTAGAAGAAGACAGTTGTCACTAGTAGGGCAAGAAACGTAGGTAGAATAATGAAGCTGAGGTAGAATAATGAAGTTCTGGGTTAAAGTACCAAAGGCTGTCAAATATCCATGGCATCACCATGGCTCTGGGCTTACTGAAAAGGAAGTATCTAAAATTGGTATGCAGGCTCAAGGCTCAGATAACCTTGTCCTGTTCAAACCTTTAACAGTTGAAGTATCTCAAATATATTAAACATTGGAGGTCGAGAATGCCAAGTCAAAAGCAAAAGGGAGCCTTTTACAGTGGATATGTGTGTTTCTCTGAAGTCTAAAGTCAGAGGGGACAGTGGTTGTAGGTAGGTTGGGAACAAGAAAGATGAGGTGGGAAGATGTCGTTTAGAGTGTGGCAACCTCAGGCAGTTAGCCTCAAAGCATTTACCAAAGAGGAAGAACAAACACTATAGCAGTAGCCCAAGGAAACTCTTCTTTCTGGATCCTCTTTTTGAGCTGCTGAGCTGATATTCCACCTGTGTGGAGATAGCTTAGTGCAAAACAGCTGGGTTTTGAATATGTAAACACTCACCGGAAATCTGTAAATCAGGGGTAAAGCCATGTGGTTGTGTATCTTTTCTATGGTACCTGCAAACTACAGCTGTTCATGGAGACAGTGCTTGTATTATGTGGCTGTGGGTGTCTCCTGGATGGAACATAGATAGATAGTGCCTATTCCTTCCTCAATGTGGTGATCCAACAGCAAAGGAAGGACTGCTGGATGTGTAGGAGTGGGAGGAGGAGAAAGTGGTGTGATGGAAATGCAAGGCAGAAAGGGAATGGCTGGTGCCATCTGCAAGGGAGATGGAGCCCTCCTGAATTCCTGGCAGAGCTATTGAGATGAAATTGATAAGGAAAGTGAGAACTCATCACCCACATATACTGTATTATCTCTGAGAGAGAAAAAAAGACCTGTCTGTAATGAGCTTTTAGCTTGCATCTGAAGGAGTCTGCTAACTTGAGCTACCAGAATAATATTTGCCATATTCTTTTTAAAAAATATTGGTTTTTATTTTGTGCTTTAATTCAGTGTTAAGTGAGTTGTTGACTTTTTTGGTTTGTTTAAAAAAGAAGTTAGACAGTTGGAATCCCATGTAGGCATAAAAGTGGGGTTCTAAAAACTAGGTCCGTCCTGGGTCCTAACACTTCCCACATATAGATACGTGTTTAGTGACAGTGGGCATTAGAACAGCTAATTAATAACTAATACCGTAAATATTATATATTAGGATCTAGGATTCTCTGGTCATGTACCATGTTAGAGAAACAACTTCTGAAGTGCTATAGGTTGAGCTAGAAGTGTTTATGTGCCTAAGTGTGCTTTAGGTACTCCAAGCAAATCTTTAGTATAAGTTTTATGGTTGTTTATTACTTAAAATAGGAAAGCTTCACTAATAGAGTGGTTGTTATAAGTAAGGGTTAGAGAGAGCATATTAAGTTATACCTGGGAGTTTATAGTTCTTTAAATCTTGTCAAACTGTATTATTCTTTTAAATATGTCATATGACGGTTTATAATTATTGTGAATACTTTAAAAAGCTGGTGGTGAATACGTTACAGGTGGATCACACCTGTAATCCCAGCACTTTGGGAGGCTGAGGCAGGTGGATCACTTGAGGTCGAGTTTGAGACCAGTCTGGCCAACATGGTGAAACCCCATCTCTACTAAAATACCAAAATTAGCCAGGTGTGGTATCCTTCGCCTATAATCCCAGCTACTGGAGAGGCTGAGGCAGGAGAATTGCTTGTACCTGGGAGCCGGAGGTAGCAGTGAGCTGAGATTGCGCCACTGTACTGCAGCCTGGGGACAGAGTGAGACTCCATCTCCAAAAAAAAAAAAAAAAAAAAAAAAAGCCATGCTGCTTAAAAGATGTAATTTTCAGAAAAATTGTGCTACAACTAGGATGTGATATTTAATTATTTGAGACATGTTCTATAATCACAATCACCACTGATTAGTAGTCAACCATGTTGAAGTTATAGTACCTGTGAGGAAATAGCCTTAAACACAGAATCACATAAATATCAGAGCCATACTGGGAAATACCTTTATTAATTAGAAAATGTTTGCCATTCTGGCTTCTAAAGAAATCCAACTATTCTTGAGTTGCAACTGTAACATACCCTTAAGTAAAAATCAGTTAGTTCATACTTCATGGTAGCAAGGACTCCAACCTTTTGATAGACTTACTTTTCCTAAATTCCCTGCAATTAAGCCTCTACTTAGCTTAACCACCTTCAGTGATTGGGAGCTCACTCTTTCGCTGTTAAAGTGTTTCTATTTATTAGAAAGTCTGTCTTTATAGTAGGAAAAACTTTGCCTCTTTGCAAATTAACCGTAGGGATGCCATTTGGAACAACATGGCACATATTTATTTCCTCTTTCTTCCAATAAACTAAATTTTAAATATTTTGAGAGAGCCATCGTCTCACCTTTCAATATTTATAGTCCCAGATTCTCAGTTGTTTGGCAATTCCATGACTGTAAGCTTTTTAATCATCCTATTTTGGATACTTTCTAGTTTGTCAGTGTTCTGATTAAGACATTTCAGGACATGATTCATCCACTCATTACATACTTAGTAAGCTCCTATTATGTGCCAGGAACTGAGGATACAATGGTGAACAAGAGAGACAATCCCTCCATGCTCTAAGGGATAGGCAATAAACAAGTATATATATGTATTTTGTTTTCAGGTAAATGTTAAGTGCTGTGAAGAAAAATACAATGAATGTATAGAAAGTGTTGGCAATGGAAGAGGTCTATTTTAGATAAGGTCATTAGGGAAGATCTTTCCAAGTAAGTGGCATTTTATCTGAAATCTGAGTGCAATGCAGTGCACCTGCAGTGATCTCAAAAAGGAGGTTCAAAGAAGGAAAACAGCAATTACCAAGGCTGTGAGGTGGGGATGATGTGACAATTTATAATAAATTAAGGTCCCCAGCTTTTCCCCTTCTCATGACTCCCAAGGAACCCTAAAAAGGATAAATCTACATGGTTCAGTGTTAGTGAAAATTCTTTTTTTAAAAATTTTTGCTGGTTCAACTTCTTCCTCCTTGATACACACACACACACACATACACACACACACACACTCATTCTCCTAAAGATAATATCATCTCTGCTAGATCCATTCTTTGAGATTTGTGATACAGCACTGAAAGACTGAGAAGAAAGAGAGAATTAAAGTAGCAGGACTAAAAATGGGCATGTTTAGCCAGGGAGGCATCATTGAAAGTTGCAAACTCAAAGTTCTACAGGAACTAGGGCTAACATATATGAGTGATGCAGGATGGGTATAAAGCAATGAAGGATCATGGTTCCCACTGTGGCATACCCCATCTAAAGAGGTCAGCTTCTACTCAGCTAGAGCAAATTGTTGGAATGCATAATGCAAACCCACTGTTGCCACATGTCCCAATTTTTCAAGAATAGTAACAGATCTGGTTTTTACATTAGATTTTTCAATTTTAAAAACACTGCCACAGGGACTCCCACTCCCAAAAAATTGGATAGACATATTGGTCCCTGTTCCATCCTTAAGTACAATTAAAACCCAATGACATTATATATAAGAAGACTCTGAAACATGAGAGGGAAAAGGGAAACCAGTTAGGAACCTTGGGACTCGTGGGAATACATGGTAGTAAGTTTCTTGAGTTTTCTTTTGCCTCCTGTATTCCATATCTGGAGCTAAAGAAGCTGAAAAGCTGGAAACATCAATCTACACAGGCAAAAAAGCCCAAGAAAAGCCTGTTTTCTCTAGCCCCAAAACTGGAAAGGGGAAGCCTACAGGACAGAAAACCCTATTCCAGCTGAATAGCCCAGAAATATTTGACAATTATATAATTAACAGGGGTAGGTAAAGGGAGATAAATTTCATTTCACTGCAACTGGTAAAATGATGACACGAGTGGATTGTGATAAGTTATGTATATATAAGGTAATAACCAGATAAACCATTAAGAAAGCTACACAAAAAGATATATACTTTGTATGTAAAAACATTATGGACAAATCAAAACGGAATTCTAAAAATTATTCAAGTAATCAATAGGACAGCAGGAAAAAGAAAACAGAAATAAAGAACAGAGAAAATAAAAGAAATAGTAGACTTAAGCCCCAACATAACAATAATTACATTAAATGTAAATGGCTTAATAATTCCAATTAAAGAGATTGGGAGAAAGGATTAAAAACATGACCCAACTCTGTGTTATCTATGAGAAATACACTTTCGATATAATTATGTAGACAAAATGAAAATGATAGGAAAATATATATTATGCCAACATTAATTGAAAGAAAATAGGAGTGATGATATTAATATCACATAGACTTTAGAGCAAAGACTGTTGCCAGAGACAAACAGGGACATTTTAAATGATAAAATGGTCAGTGTACCAAGAACACTGCAATCCTAAATGTACATGTACAAAATACAGAGTTGCAAAATGTGTGAAGCACAAATAGACTAAAAAGAGAAATAGACAAATTCGCAGTTATGGTTGGAGGCTTCACAGTCTTCTCAAAATTGGTAATAGGTAATTGGTAATAAATTGATATAGGAAATCAGCAAGGATAAATGTATGAGTCTGCTAGGGATGCCGTAACATAATGTCACACACAGAGTGGCTTAAACAATGTAAATTTATTTCTCACAAGATAATGTGGAAGCTGAAAGTCCAAGAGAGAGGTGTCAGAAGTTTGGTTTATTCTGCTGAGGCCTCTCTCTTTGGCTTGCTTTCTCAATATGTCCTCACCTGGCCTTTCCTTGGTGTGCCTGCACATCCCCAGTGTCTCTTTATAAGGTCACCAGTCTTACTGGTCACCCTGATCACCTCATTTAACCTTTTAAAAGATTTTGTCTCCAAATAAAGTCACATTGGGAGTTAGAGCTTCAACATATGAATTGGGATGGGGAAACATAATTTAGTCCATAACAATATAAAATAACTCAAAACCACTACCAACTAATAGGAACTAATTGACATATATAGAATACCCAACAGCAGCAGAATACATATTTTTTTGCAGGTGTCCATAGAACATATACCAAGATAGACCACATCCTGGGCCATAAAACAAACCTCAATAAATTCAAAAGAATTGAAATACAAATTGTGTTCACTGACCAAAATGGAACCAATCTAGAAATTAATAACAGATTGATAGCAGGAAACTCTAAATACTTAGACACTATACAAGAGACTTCTAAATAACCCATAAGTTAGAGGAAGTTTCAAGAAATCAAATAATAGGCCGGGAACGGTGGCTCACGCCTATAATCCCAGCACTTTGGGAGGCCGAGGTGGATGGATCACCTGAGGTCAGGAGTTCGAGACCAGCCTGGCCAACATGGTGAAACCTCGTTTCCACTAAAAATACAAAAATTAGCCAGGCATGGTGGTGCACAGCTATAGTTCCAGCTACTCAGGAGGCTGAGGTGAGAGAATCGCTTGAACCCGGGACGTGGATGTTGCAGAGAGCCAAGATCGTGCCATTGCACTCCAGCCTGGGCAACAGAACAGGATTCTGTCTCAAAAAAAAAAAAAAAAAAAATCAAATCATTAAACCAAATGAAAATGTAACATATTAAAATTTGTGAAACTCAGCCAAAGCAATGCTGAGAAAGACAGTTATGTAGCTAAATACATACATTAGAAAAGAGGAAAAGTCTCAAATCAATAATCAAACTCACATCTTAAAAGCTAAATACATACATTAGAAAAGAGGAAAAGTCTCAAATCAATAATCAAACTCACATCTTAAAAATCTAGAGATCAAAGAGCAAAGTAAGTCCAAAGAAAGCAGAAGAAAGGAAAGAATAAAGAGAAGAGCAGCAATCAATGAAACTGAAAACAGAAAAACAACCTAGAACATCAATGAAACAAATAAATGATTCCATGAAAAGAACAACAAAATTGACACAACTTTAGCTAGACTAATAAAGAAGAAAAGACAGAAATTGCCAATATCAAAAATGAAATAAAGGATATCGCTATAGACATTGTAGACAATGAAAGGCAATAAAAGAATACTGCAAAGCAACCCTACACACAAAAGTTTGATAACTTAGAAGAAACAGATCACATTCTGAAAAAAAAAAATCTACCGCAACTTGGTAATATAAAATAGATAATATGAGTAGCCATACAACTATTAAGGAAATTGAATTCATAATTTAAAAACTCCCACAAAAGAAACTTCTAGGCCCAGATGATTGTACTGAGAATTCTACCAAACAGCAGAGTTGACACTAATTGCATATAAGCTCTTCTAGAAAATAGAAAAGGAGAAATCTCTTCCCTATTTATTTTATGAAGTTAGTATTACTCTGATACCCAAAACCAGACAAAGATAGTACAAAAACCCCACTACATACCAATGTCCTTCATGAATATGACACACAATCTTTAAAAAAATATTAGCAAGTACAATTCAGCAATATGTAAAAAGAATTATGTACCAGGAACAAGTAAAGTAGAAGGGTGCAGGGAATGCAAATCTGGCTCAGCATTCAAAAATTGATATATCCCACAATATTAACAGGCTAAAAAGAAAAATCATGTGATTATATCAATTGATGCAGAAAAAGCACTTGACAAAATTCAACACTTCTTTATGATAAAAACTCTCAGAAAAATAGTAATAGAGGGAAACATTCTCAATAAGGAGCATTCACTGAACACCTACAGCTAACATTATAATTCATGTGAATGGCTAAGTGCTTTTGCACTAAGATCATAAAGAAACCCAGAATAACTGCTCTCTCAGCTCTTATTCAAATAGTGCTAGAAGTTCTAGCCAGTGAAATAAGGCAAGAAAAGGAATAAAAGGCATATAAGTTGGAAAGGAAGAAATAAACTGCCCCTATTTTCAGCAGACAGAGAAATCCCAAGAAATCTACCATAAACACTCGCAGAGCTAACAGGTAAGTTCAGCAGTGTCACAGGATTCAATTTAAATATACAAAGAACAATTGTATTTCTATGTATTAGTAGTGAACCACATGGACATCAAAATTAAAATATGATGCCATTTATAATGGCTCAGAAAATAAAATACTTCAGTATAAATCTAACAAAATGTGCACAACTTGTATGCTGAAAACTGCAATGCTAAAAGAAATAAAATCTAAAAGAAATAGAGGAAATAAAAACAATCTAAATAAATGGAGAAGCTAACATATCATGACTTGGAAGACTCAAAATAGTAGAGATTTCAATTCTCCCTGAATTGATATCCAGGTTGTAATGAGTTGAGTTTGGCCCCTCAAAAGATGTGTTTACAGCTTGCAGCGAGCCGAGATTGCGCCACTGCAGTCCGCAGTCCGGCCTGGGCGACAGAGCGAGACTCCGTCTCAAAAAAAAAAAAAAAAAAAAAGATGTGTTTACATCTTAATCCCTGGAATCTGTGAATGCTACCTTACTTGGAAAAAGAGTCTTTGCAGATGTAATTATTTTAAGAATCTTGACATGAGGAGATCATCCTGGATTATCTGGGTGGGCATAAATCCAATGACAAGTTTTCTTACAGGATACACACACACAGGAGTACACAGACACAAAGGAGAAGGCAATGTGAAGACAGAGCAGAGGGAAATGCAGCCACAAGCCAAGAAATGTTACCAGTGCCAGAAGCTGGAGGAATTAAGAAAAGATTCTTCCCTAAAACCTCCAGAGGGAGTGCAAACTTGCTTGATCCTCTGATTTCAGACTCCTGGTCTTTAGAACTGTGAGAGAGTAATTTCTGTTTTCTTAAGCCATCAAGATTGTGTTAATTTCTTACAGTAGTCACAGACACTAATACACAGGTTGAACACAATTTCTTTCAAATCTTATCAAGTTTTTTTTTTTTTTTTTAGATATAGACAAGATTATTGCAAAGGAAATGCTACCAGAATAGCTAACCTAATTTTTAAAACGAAGAATGCCATGGGAGAAATGAGACTACTCAATTTTAAAACTTATTATATAGATACAGTAATCAAGACTGTGTGTTACTGGTAAAGGGATAGACACACCGATGAACAGAAGATCCAGATATGGCCACACGAATATGCCCAACTGATTATTGAAAACAGTGCAAAAGTAATTCAATGGAGAAAAGGTAGCTTTTTCAACAGATGATGCTGGAGCAATTGCATATCCACTGGCAAAAAAATGAACCTCAACCTAAGTATCACTACTTATTAAAAAATTAGCTCAAAGTGGATCACAGACATAAATGTAAAATGTAAAAACTTTTTGAAAAACATAGGAGTTTTCTTCAAGTTCTAGGGCTAACCAAAGAGTTTCTTAGGCTTGTCCCCAAAAGCATAATTCCTAAGGGGGAAATTAATAAACTTCATAAAAATTAAAAACTTTTGCTTTAAGAGAATCCCCAATAAGAGGATGAAAAGACAAGTTATGGAGTGGGAGAAAATATTTGCAATATCCAGCAAAGGATTATTATCTAGAATATATAAAGCACCCTTAAAAGTCAACAGTAAAAAAGCTGTAGTGAAACTGGATCACTCATAGATTGCTGGTGATATGTGAAATGGTAAACCACTCTGGAAGAGAGTTTGACAATTTTTAAAAACTAAACATGCAATAACTGCATGACCCAGCAATTGCAGTCCTGGTCATTTATCCCAGGGAAATGACAGTATTACAAAATCGTGTACACAAAATCCTATACAAGAATGTCTATAGGAGATTATATTATAATAGCCCCAAACTGGAGATAACCCAGATATCCATCAATGAGTGAATGGTTAAACAAACCATGGTACATCTATACTTTGGAATACTTGCCAGTAATCAAAAGGGTTAAATTATTGATTCATTCCATAAACTGGGTGAATCCCCAGATAATTATACTGAGTGAAAAAAGCCAATTCCCCAAAGGGTACATATTATATGATTTCATTCTTTATTCTTTCTTTAAATGACAAAAATATAAAAGAGTGAACAGGTTAGTGGTTTCCACTGTCTAGGCCTGGGGAGAGGGAAGAATGTGTGCGGCTGTGAAAGGACAACTTGAAGGGTTCTTGTGATGGAAATTTCCTGTATCTTGATGGTATCAACATCAATATTCTGCTTGTGATATTGTACTATAGGTTTCACAAGATGTTACTACTGGGGGAGACTGGATAAAGGATCCTTTGGAACTCTCTGTATTATTTCTTACAACATTCATGTAAATGTACAATTAACTCAATATAAAAAAAGTAATAAAAAACTGTCAGCCAATCAGAACATGTGTTCAGGCCAGATATTGCCTGCTGGCTATACTTTGCATACTTTGATATGCATAATAAAGTACAGTGAAGGCAGAGATAAAGGTGAAGAAAAAAGTTCAGTATGATGAGGTGGAAGAGAGGATTTGTGGGCTGATGGATAGAGATACTCTATAATAGCTGTGGGACATGATGAAAGTAGATAGAACAGAGAGAGGATTTTTGTTAGTGATGCATTCTGTGTATGTGTTAGGGGGACCTTTCTTGTTTCCAAGAACTTCAGGGAAAGATATTAACCAATGTGTTTTCTTAAGCAGTGCTATTGCAAAGCGACTGAGCCACATAGATCTAGCATTGCAAGTGTTACAAGTCAATGTTAGGAAACCCTTGTGGTTACCTGGAAGAGACTGAAGTAGTGTAAATAAGAGATTTAAGTGAGATATGGCTAAATGTCCATATACTAACAATAGTGCGTGTTGCTTGCCTTGCAGATCCCGCTATCCATTTTCTCTTGGCACGTGCTCATGGCTACTGGCACCTATTCCTAGTAAGGGGAAGCTTGGCTCTGAACAGGCCCCTATTCCCTCTCCTTGTTTCCAATTTGTACTTAGGATTCTAAAGTAACAGTACTCAGGATATGTATGGAGACATTATCTCCTGGGGCTTGTGAGGCTGGATAGAGGGATTTGATAAGGTGCTGCAAGGTCTGTACGATCTCTCTGATCTGAGATCACACTGCAGGAGTGTGTGTGTGGGGAGGAGGGGGGCAATCTCCCTCTGCTTATTATGGTCAGTTTGGGTGTTCTCATGCCATTTAAGCCACCAACTGCTTATTCTGGGCCAAGAGCAAATGAGCTCAGGTGCATGGAATTGAAAGGTAATGAGAATGATTAATCAAATTCCTTCCAGTAAAGAATGCCACTTGCCAGACTCTGTCCTGGATAACCCTCCTACAAGTGAATCAGGGGCTGGGCTCTTCCCTTAGGTGTCTGGTATCTGAGGGTAGACATCTGTGCTTGGAGTGAACTCGGAATGACTGGAGGCCACTTTTGGCATGGTGTCTTTGCTTTATCAGGCTTCCCTGCCAAGGTCTGCTCACAATCTCCTCTGGCCATGCTCATTTCGTTATGGAAAATAGGGTGAACATGAGTAATGGGAAATGCAGTTAGCTGTTGGGGCGAGATGGGCCCAGTGATTTCCTCCTGTACCATGGAAAGCTCTACATGGTGACTACAATGGTTTCAAACCAGTGCAGAGAGATACCTGGGGAGTGAATCATTCTGTTGTTGGCATATTTATTTATCTCATTATATCTATTTATCTACCTTTAATCTAATTTTAGGTAAATAGAAATGAGTTGATCTTGGAAGACTGGGATTTTAACTTTTAAAATTTCTTGATAAGATGTTTACAATAGGCATATCATCTACTGTACAACTCTTAAACAATAATATAAAACTGCATAAGATACATGAACTTAAGCGTCTTTAGTTTTTTTGAGTTCTATTCCTGACTTGGCAACTAATGAATTAGCCACTCATTGGGGTGTAACTTTCCTTACCAGTAGAATGGGGCTCATAATGTCTACCTTGAGAGCAGATAGGATGGAGAGTGATGCCTGATGCATAGAAGGTACTCAGTAAGTGTTAATCCTTGCCTTTGCCCAATTTCCCACCTAGGAGAATTTTTGTACCTTGACCTTATAAAATTCCCTGATGAGGAATCTATCCCAGTAGCAGTACCTTTTTCCCAACTGAAGGTATTACTTTGGTCTACATGGAGTCTACATGGTAAAAGCCAATTGGTCCTGTGGCACAGAGAAAAGAGGAGTTGATTATCTGTAAGGAGTAATGGGTTCTCATATACAGTCTATGTACCAGGAAGTGCTTCATAAAATAAACATTGGTTTATTGGAAGGAGACAGAATTACTGGGAACCCAGAGGAGCAGGTGTTGAAAACAGGTAGGAACCAATGGGACTTTGGAGGACTAGGCAGAAGGAGGAACCTGGCCAGATCTCTGCCACTCTGAATATATTTGAGAATCATTTTCTCTAGATTTAGAATTAGGCAAGAAGTATCCAATTGGTTGAGCCTGTCACGTGTCTATGCCTTGGCTGCTTGAGCTTGGGAAAGGAAGATTCTTCCCAATTATGCTTCTATAGCATACTCATACTCCAAGATAAGGAGAGGCTGGAATGTTGGATAACCATCCCCAACCCCCAATGACAGTCATCCACTAAGCTCTGCATTAATTAGCTGTGTGACCATGGATAAATCATTTCATATTTTTGACCCTCAGTTTATTCATGTGTAGCATGAGAGGTCTCAAACACACCAGCAATTTTCAACTTTTATTTTTTAAACAATTGCTTACTTTCATAAAATGAAGTTTTATTTAGATACCCAAGATGTAAAACATGAAAAATGTAGACCCACTATAACTGGGGGAGTTCTTGAGGGTGGAAAGAGAGAACCCTGCTCAGCCTTCCTATTCTGCCCCCTCCCCAGATTCCCTTGCCTTTGCTACTGGCTTTCCCAGCCTTGGAAGCTACTGGGGTACGTTAAGGATCCTCCAGGATTCCATGGAGCACAATTAGGAAACAACTGGATTCTGCAATCGCTCAGGTCTCTTTCAAATATACCATTCGGTGATTCCATAACTCTAAGATTTAGAATGCTGCTCGTTTTATCCGTATGTATTTTTTGCACCCCACTCTAGACTTTAAGACGTTGGATCTTGATTCAGCATGTAGCTAATTAAGAAATTTGATTAAACTTTATTTTCTTTCACCTTAAAAAAAATGAAACCAGGGAAATCAAACACTGCAGAAGCCTCAACATTTTCTCTGTCATTCTTTATTAGTTAATGGTTGTCCCATATGCAAACTGGCCAGAAAAATCTGCTAAAGAATTGAGAGGAAATTTGATTGAAGTAAAACAAGGACTCACTCCCTTCTAAGAAACAACATACTTTATATATGTCATGTGGTTTCACACACACAAATAAAAAAAATGAAAGGAAATAAATCAAAATGCTAATGAGGGATACTTTTGGATAATAGGGCTATGGGCAATTTTGAATTTTTTTTTAAACTTCTTCCTATTTTCTGAACTTTAAGCAACACACACACACACACACACACACACACACACACACACACACACGCATATAAAACTTCCTAATCATAAAAAATTATGAAAAGTGAACACATTTGCAAGCCAAAGTAATTAAGTTAATTTAAAAAGTTATTAAGTCAGCACAAAAAATTGAAATTAATTGTGTTAAAAATAGTGTTCTATTGACTTTAAACCCAATGAGCCAGCACAGTTATAAATCTAAGCACCCACAATTCCTGAACTTATAGAGAATAACCTCTTACCCCTTCTTATGATGAATGTGCCTTATTTCTCCAGGGACAGAAGGCCAGTGATTGGGAAATATTCTATGTATGAAATGGCAGTTCTACTGGTCACCCATACAGGAAAGGATTCACTATTTTGGATGACGTTTGGCTTAGTGCAGATGTTTAAATCAGTAATAGATTCAACTTACACATCTAAGAATCCTCTTCTTTCTTAGTACCACACCCTGGACCTTCTCACAAGGTTTAGAAGGTAAGACACTCTTTATTCCTCCATTTACTGCAGTCTTGTCCTAGTGACACCTACAAGGAAGCACTTGGTAAATGCTACGAGATCCAAATGTCAAGACTGAACCTTTAGGACTACCTGTGACAATTGTTAGACCACAGCTTACCCTTTGACTCCTGTGAAAATCAAGGAGGGTGAGGAGCAACTGAAGAAAAGTCCTCTGATTTTTATTCCTTTTTTCCTTCTATAAGGAGCTCTAAGGTATTAGATTTTTTTTTTTTAACTGGCAAAACAAAAGAGCAAAAAAAGTCCCATTTTCAGTATCTGACTGTCTCCTTAAAGAGAGACGGGAGGATAATAGAGGGATAGATAGATGCGGGCAGACAGAAACAGTTACAGTAGCCAGACAGATCTATATTCAGTTTATTATATTTGATTTTCAGAGTTAATTGAGTGTTTTGCCTTAAAATTATCTTTTTCTTCCTCTTTCTCTCTTTGCTGTAATTTAAAAGGAGATAGATAAAGGCAAAGAAAAATCAATTTAAAAGTTTGCTTTTCAAAGTTGTTCCATGGTCTTAGGGGTCATTAATTCAAAGCTAGCACCAGGTAGTCAGAGGCAGATGGCTTTATTGTACCCCTGTGATGAAGGTTCTTTGTGACTGTAGGTGAAGGGAAGAACAGGAAGGTGGAAGAGTGTCGCTTATAGCATCTTACCAAGGGACCCAGAAGTCTTATATATTGTCTCTTATGGGTCTTAGTTTAACATCAGATCTTCATGTTCTGCCTAGCATGATGATGCCTTACATTTGTTTAAGAAAACACATTATCTGCAAGGTAGATATAATTATTCTTACTTTATGGATGAACAAACCAAAGGCTAGAATATGTAAGTGACCTATGTCACAAAGCTAGCAAGTGGCAGAGGAAGAACTTGAATCCTGGACTTCAGATTCTAAGGGTGGTGCCATGTTCACTGCACTCCTTAGCTATGTTGATCAGGTTATAGTTTATATTGTTTCTCTTTTTTCTTTTTTTTTTGAGATGGAGTCTCACTCTATTGCCCAGGCTGGAGTGCAGCGGTGCCATCTTGGCTCACTGCAACCTCTGCCTCCCATTTCAAGTGATTGTCCTATCTCAGCCTCCCAAGTAGCTGGGACTACAGGCATGCACCACCATGCATGGCTAATTTTTTTGTATGTTTAGTAGAGACGGGGTTTCACCATGTTGGTCAGGCTAGTCTCGATCTCCTGACTCAAATGATCCACCCTCCTCGGCCTCCCAAAATGCTGGGATTACAGGTGTGAGCCACCGCACCCGGCCTATACTTAATATTGTTTTTGAGGTTATCTGCAATGCTCACCCCCAGCTCACAAGACCAATGTAGTACTTTATGTATAACAAATGTCAATAAAATGACATTTTATACTTCAAGTCATTTCTAATTTAATATTGAAGGAAATAATGATTTACTTAATTTGGAGAATGTCTTTCATCCTCATAAAAAAAGTACCAAAGTATTTGATTTTTTTGGGTTAGCATCATGATTTCTTTTTTGAGTTATGCTGGGAACCAGGTTATAGGGCAGAAGATGGTCTTGAATATCAAAGAAAAGAAACACTTATCTAGAAGACGCTATGTGACCTTGGGGTGACCTTAAATAAGTGACTTAACCTCTTGAAATCTTGTTTTTCTCCTTTCCATAAAGAGCTTGATAATACCTGCCCTACATCCTGAAGGGGCTGTTTCTAGAGTCACAAATCATAATTGTAAAGCATTGCTACATGTGAAGTGTGATTCCTTGCAGGACTAGGGCTCCTGGCTGAGACGTGGCCTAATTGGCCCCTCTCTTGGGAATGAAGACAATCAGTCAATGAATAGTGAGTTCCTGGGAAATTCTACAACAGGCTTCTTTCTTGCCATCTTCCATCCGTATTCCTTTCCCTCCCTACTCCCAGAACATCTCTGATCCAATAAGGACTTCTTAAAGAGAGATATGGGAAGTGCAGGCGAGTGACTGCCTTCTTTCCTATGGTGATAATGCTTATAATGTAGTCTTATGTTTTTGTGGCTGATATAAAGTATTTGGCCTGGCAAGTAAAAACACATAGGCATGTCATGGATGTGCCAGAGCTGCATTCTTGGACCACATGGTGGCTCTGTGGCTCGGGAAGAACAGGAGTTTTCTCTGCCTTTTCTACCCCTGTGCCACATCCTCCCTCCTCAACAAAGTGTAATTTACTCTTAAAGCAGAACTCACTCTCATACTTTTCAAATAAAAATATCACGGATCTTTAATGAGTGCCTAATTTGTGTCAGCCCCAGACCAGATACTCCCATATGTGACCTCATTGAATAATTGCGCAGGTGGGATGGATATTACTATTGCTATTTCACAGGTCAAAAACCTGTCACTTCAGTTACATAATGTGCCTGAAATCACCTAGAGAGTAAGTGATTGAGCCAAAACTGAAATTCGCGCTTCTGACTCCAAGTGCGAGGCTCCTTTGACTACATTTAGGCTTATTGAGTGTATGCGCAGCTGCAGGAAAATGGAGCCTACAGCACTGTAGTGAGCCATTGTCTTAGTCATGAGTGAGAAACCAGTTTGTAACCAACATTGAACTACTGATAAGGAAATTTTGAGGGAAAGAAGAGAAAGTTCTGTTAAGAAATTAGTAAATAAAATCCATTAAAAACGTTTTAATAAGCACAAGATTTTTTTTTTCTTACTAAAGAAAGTAATTCATGTTCATATGGAACAGGGGTTGGTACACAGAGGTCTGTGCAAATAAAGTTTTATTGGAACACAGTCATGTTCATTTGTTTCCATATTTTTTCTGGCTACTTTTGCTCTACGATGGTAGAGTTGAGTGATGGCAATAAAGACTGTGGCCTGCAAAGCCTTAAATATTTACTATCTAACCCTTTATAGAGTTAGCTGACCCTGAAATAGAACACTTGGAAAACAGAAGTACAAAGGAAGTAAAAAAGGATTAATCTAGAAATAAACCCTACTGCATTTTGCTGTGTTTACTTCTTAATTTTTCCTTCCCAATCATTAAGTTTTTGGAGAATTTAACTTTAATGGTTGAATAATAGTCTTTATTATTAATTATTATTAATATACCATACTTCAATTCATCATTTTTTATATATATTCAACTTATTTCTATTTTTTTCTGTTATAAATAATGCTGTGATGTATATATGAGTACATAAATCTTTGTTTTGCTCTTTGACGTCAACTTCTAGTAGTGAGATTACTGGATTTAGTGATATAAAAATGTTTAAGTTTCTTTTTTTTTTTTTTTGTTTGAGACGGAGTTGCTCTGTTGCCCAGGCTGGAGTGCAGTGACACCATCTCGGCTCACTGCAAACTTTGCCTCCTGGGTTCAAGCAATTCTCTTGCCTCAGCCTCCCGAGTAGCTGGGATTACAGGCACCCACCACCATGCCTGGCTAATTTCTGTATTTTTAGTACAGTCAGGGTTTCACTGTGTTGGCCAGGCTGGTCTTGAACTCCTCACCTCAGGTGATCCGTCCTCCTCAGCCTCCCAAAGTTCTGGGATTACAGACGTGAGTCACCATGCCAGGCCTAAGGTTCTTGATATATACTGAAACATTGCCTTCCAGGGAAGTTACAGCAATTCACCCTTAACTTACCTGCAGAGCGTGAAAGCCAATGCCTGTCTCAATAAGCCTTCATTACTGCTGAGGGGTGTGATTTTATCTTTGAAATTTTTATCATTTATAATGTGAACTTATTCTCCTTTTAAATTTATTGTTATATAAAATGTTTATGTCATAGACCTATTATTTTCTATCAAGTATTTAAGTTTTCCTCTTATTATTTTGATGAGCTTTTAATTGATTAATAGTATTGTTGCTTGGTATTATAAATACATACTCATGGCAAACACTTTTCTTTCAATTTTGCCTCAATTTTGTTTATGATGTTCTTTGAGGGGCAGAAATACTTGATTTTTTTCTCTAGTTAAAACTATTGAGACTCTTTCCTTTTATGATTTCTTCAGTTGCTTTTTTAATATTAAAAACTTTTCCAAGTCAGAGATTAGATAAATATTCATTTGCGTTGTGTGATTTTTAAATTTAACTTTTTAATCTTTATGAAATTGATTTTTGCATAAAGTACTAAACAAAATTACTTATATTTGCTTTCCAAAGTATAAACTTTTCCAGCATAAGTAATTCATCTTATCCCTCACTGATTTTCAAGGATTCCTGTATTACACAAGCTTTTGTATATATGAGGTTCTCTACTATGTTCAGTTAATCTTTCACTGATGCTTGTGTCAGTATTACACTGTTTTAGTTATTGTAGCTTTACAGTAAAGATTAACACCGGGTACGGCAAGTCCTCCTTTATTATTATTTATTTTTATGCATACTATTTTAAAACTGTAAGTGCTTATTGGGCTATACCAGTAAGTATCTAGAGCAGTGGTTTTTAAGCTCCTAATTTGGCCCACTACCTATTTTTGTAAATAAAGTTTTATTGGAACACAGCGATATTTATTTCTGTGTTATCTATTGTGTCATTTGCAGTACAGTGGTGCAGTTGAGTAGTTGTGTTAAAGACTGTATAGACCACAAAGCCTAATCTGCTTTGCTGCCTCCTGATCTAGAAGATTTAGACTAGGAATTCAAGTAGACAGAAAACCGGTGTTACAAGGTTTAGACCTTACTTCTTGGCACACCCCACTCATTCCAAGTGGGATTTTAGCTGTTCGCTCCAACTTTTTGCATCTCGCCTTTACCTTATTAGTAAGGAGAAAGTCAAGATAGAGCAAAGACTCTCTAATCTGCCATTGGCCTTCCCATTATTTATATTGCCGTATTGACAACAAGTGTTTCTTCCGAGTCTAACTTCTCTCTACGATCCTAAGCATTTTTGTAGGGGGTACCAATATATAATGTTAAATACTTCCATGTACATCTATTGCTTGAAAGAAAATCATTTCATTGCTGGTTAAATGAGTATTTTAGATAATCTTTTTAAAAATGTTATTATTTTTAAGTTCCACGATACATGTGCAGGATGTGCAGGTTTGTTACATAGGTAAACATGTGCCATGGTGGTTTGCTGCACCTATCAACCCATCACTAGGTATTAAGCCCAGCATGCATTAGCTCTTTTCCCTAATGCTCTCCCCACCTCCATCCCCCGACAGGCCCCAGTGAGTGTTGTTACCCTCCCTGTGTCCATGTGTTCTCATTCTTCAGCTCCCACTTAAAAGTGAAAACATGTGGTGTTTGGTTTTCTGTTTTTGCACTAGTTTGCCAAGGATAATGACTTCCAGCTTTATCCATGTCCCTGCAAAGGACATGATCTCATTCCTTTTTATGGCTGCATAGTATTCTATGGTGCATATGTACCCCTGTTCTGATTATCTTGTCACTGTTCCTCTGCATTTACACAGGAGTACAGAAGTTGACCACACATCTGGATTAGCTGAGGGCTCAAGATAAGAAAGTCTGAGGTGCTTTGATGGGAGGAGTAGGAGGTATGAGCTCATGAAAGGCAACAATGTTTACTAAGAAGGTTAATTCTTCAAGTGTGAAGGTGTATCTAAAAGTTCCTTCATGACCTTTTTTGTGGCAGGTGTGGCTATGTGCTCATGGGCTACTAAAGCGAGGCTTCAACAGACTTTTTAAAAATTGGATAACCATATCTCTCTAAGGATAGACCATTTCCCACAGAGACCACTCACTCAAGCCTGTTTGGTTGTTTATTTTTATGACAGTTTTGGAACTCTGGCATATCTCAGTGGGACATGCTAGCCTTCTCTTTGTGTGGTCTGGAATGACCTTTTATGCACTCAGCAAGGTGCTATAAAGGATTGCTGTAACTAGTCAGGGCTCCATGAGAGGCTGGCAGGAACACCTAAAAAGTTGCTAATATGTGCACACATGAACACATACACCCAATGAAGAGAAAGAAAACAGAAAAGCAAAGGAATTATTTTAAAAGTCATATATATTTTCTCATATAATCTCAGAATGATATAGAGAAAAATGTATTGGGTGTTGGCTTCTATAATTCTCCCATAAAGAACTATTTTCACAACAGCCAAAAATTAAGAAAAATGCTTCTAGTATTATTTTTCACCTTCTCAGAATGGAAGGATGAGGTGTGGTTCTTCCAGCCTCAAGATATTTCATCCCTTCAAACCACAAAGATTGATTCAATAAGGTTGTGACAAGTCCTGTGCTAAAGGAAAAAAAAATCTAGGATATGAAGTAACCAAGAGAAAGGAAAACGTGACTATAAACAAGGAAAAAAGGAGAAACCAATGAGAATGGGAAACAGAATAAAAATATTGCAAAGAGCTACCGATGAGAAATGCGGTTTGATAATAATCTTTCAAGAGAAGTTTGGTCTTAGAAGAAAACTGGCTACATCATGCTGACAAATACGTCAAGATATGCAACAGAGATGGCCTAACCATCCATGGCTCCACTGTGGGAAGGTCAGACATTGTTGAATATCTGTGCTCAATGAAATATGTGTTTTCCTAACTCTGACACTCACTGTTATTGCAATGCATACAGACTCCTCAAAGATCGTAAGCCCTAAAAGTTGATAAGTGTTCAGAGAACAAGCTCTCACTCAGTACAGGAATTCTATCCTGTGATATTTCTTGAGAGAATGAAATTGTTGAATTCTTAGATCTTGAAAGCAGTTTAAATCCTCGAGTAGTGGCTAAGACTGGGGGCTACAGGGCCAGAGGGCCTAGATTTGAATTTATGCTGCCCTGGGTCCTGGCTGATTCTTTGGTTAAATCAACCCTCGAAGCCTAAATAAGACTGTAAAATGAGGATGATAATAGCATCCTTTTGAAATGTAGTGTGGATTTAGTGAGATGATATAAATCATCTAACTTAGTGCTCTATACATGTAAAATGGTCAATAAATGTTGGCTATTATTGTATTTTATATTATCATTATTATCTCTTGTAGTCTACTCATTTTACAAATGAGGATCAATCTGCAGTGGGTTGTAGCAAGAAGACCCTTAAAACTAGAGAAATCAAATAAAAGTGTTTAATGCCAGGTATCTCTTAGTTGGTTGGATAAATTTTGGGTACTAGCTTCCTTTTGCAGGCCCAAAGTACTCATCACATAGGATAATAGATTTACTGCAAGAATAACTCTGATTTCTAAAGTATTGTAAAGTGGGTGAAAGGAGGGGAGATTAAATTAGCTTTATCTTTCAGAATCCGAAAGCTGATGATGAGTTAGGAGAAAGGAAGTTCTGATTCTCTGAGCTCTAGATTTTTCACTAATCTACCAGAAAAGAGAAAACCATTCTTCTGTGATTATATATTGTAAACGGGGGCAAGGGCCATTTTATATACAAAGAATTCCAAGGAAGAGGTCTAGCATGTGAAAATACATGTGATTTTTTTTTTTTACTTTTTTTAAAATTAAACTTTTTATTTTGAGGTAATCGTATATTCATAAGCAGCTGTAAGAAATAATATAGCAAGATCCCAAGTACACTTTATACAGTTTCCTCTATAGTAACATCTGGAGAAACTATTGTGTAATGTAACAACCAGGTTATTGACGCTGATATCATCAAGATACAGACCATTTCCATCACCACAAGGATCCCTCCTGTTACCCTCTTATAGCCATACTAACTTCCCGTAGGCCTATTTATGATATCCCTATTCTGTTCCATTGACCTGTGTCTTTTTGCCAGTACTCTGAAGTATTTATTACTGTAGCTGTACAGTAAGTTTTGAAATCATGTAGATTGATTCCTCCTACTTCATTTTTCTTTTTCAATATTGCTTCAGGTATTCTAGTTTCTTTTAATTTCCATACACATTTTTAAATAATCCTGACTATCTCTCCCAAAACAATCTTGCTTGGATTTTGACGGAAATTGTGTTAAATCTGTATATCAATTTGAGAGAATTAAATCTTCACTATGTTGGGGTTTCAATCCATGAACATAGTATATTTCTTAATTTATTAAGACCTTCTTTGATTTTTAATAAACATTCCATAGTTTTCAGCATACAAATTCTGTTTATATTTTTATATCTAAGTGCTTTAAGTTTTTGAGCAATCATAAGTAGTATTTTTAATTTTGGTGGCTACTTGTCCATTGTTCATATAGAGGAATACAACAGACTTTTGTACGTTTATCTTGTGTCCTGTGACCTTGCTGAACTCACATATTGGTTCTATGTGTGTGTGTGTATGTGTAGATTACTTGGGATTTTCTACATAGAAATTATGTTATCTGCAAATAATGACAGTTATATTTGTTTCTTCCAGAGCCGTATGTATTTTTTTAAATTTCCTTATTTTACTGGCTAGAACTTCCAGCACTGTGTTGAATAAAAACAGTGTGAGCAGACATTCTTACTTTGTTTATGATCTTAAGGGCAAAGCATTCAGTCAAGCACCATGGTTAGCTATTGGTTTTCTGTAGCTGCTCTTTATTAAGATGAAGAAGTTCATCTCTATTTTTATTCTTCTGAGAGTGGGTGTTAAATTTTGTCAGATGCTATTTATGTGTCAATTGATATAACCATGTGTTTTTTTCTTCTTTAGCTGAAGAATGTGCTAGATTACATTGATAGGTTTTTGAATATTGAAACAACTTGCATCCTTGGAGTATACCCCAGTTGGTCATGGTATATAATTCTTTGTATATATTGTTAAATTCTGTTTGCCAATATTTTGTTAAGGTTTTTTGTGTCTATATTTATAAAGGATATTGATGTGTAGTTTTCTTTTTTGTACCGTTTTTGTCTCATTTTGGTATCACGATAATAACTTCATAAAATGAATTGCAGTATCTCCCTTTTCTCTATTTTCTGGAAGTTATTTTATAGAATTAGTTAATTAATTTAAATGTTTGGTAGAATATTCCAGGGTAACCATCTGGACCTAGAGATTTTATTTTGGGAAGTATTTTAATTATAGATTTAATTTCCTTAATAGTTATGTAGCTATTCAAATGATCTCTTCCATATTCAATGATTTGGGGTAGACAGTGTTTTTTTGAGGAATTGGTCCATTTCACTTAAATTATCAAATTTATGTAAGTATTATCAAATTTATGTATGTATTCCTTTATTATCCTTTTGATATGTTCGGGGGCTGTAGTGATATCCCTTCTTTTATTTCTGATATTGACAATTTGTGTCTTCTGTCTAACTTTGTCAGTCTTGCAAGATGCTTGTTGATTTTGAGCTTTTCAAGGAATCATCTCTTTGTTTTATTAATTTTCTATACTTATTTCATTTTTACTTTCATTAGTTGTTGCTTTTGTCTTTATCTTCCATTTACTTTGGATTTATTATTTTTTTTTAGGTTTTCGAGATGTGGCCTTAGATTATAAATTTGACTTCCCCCCCTTTTCTAATATATGCAGTTAGTGCTATAAATTTTCCTCTCAGCACTGCTTTAGTTATGTCCTATAAATTTTGATATGTTTTATTTTTCCTTTAGCTTAAAGCACTATTTGGTTTTCTTGAGACTTCCTTTTTGACTTATATATTATTTAGAAATGTCTTATTTAATTTACAACTGTTTACTTGTTTTTGTTGTTGTTGTTGTTTCATTTGGTCTAATGTTGGTTGGCACATGCACTGCATATGATTTCAATTATTTTGATTTTGTTGAGGTTTGTTTTGTGGTCCAGGATGTGGACTATCTTGGAAAAAAATGTGTATTCTTTTACTGTTGGGTGGAGTGTTTGATAAATGCCAATTATTAATAGATACTGTTAGTTGATGGTGTTACTGGGTTCTATCTCTTTGTGATTTTCTATCTAGTTGTCCTATCGATTATTGAGAGAAGGGTGTGAAGTCTAAAACTCTAATTGGATTTATCTCATTTTTCCGTTTTCAGTTTTTGCTTCACATACTTTGCAGATTTGTTGTTTGGTACAGTTACATTTAGGTGGATTGACTCTTTTATCATTATATGTTAATCCTCCCTGTTTTTGTGATTTTTTTTGTCCTGAAGTCTAATGTATTTGATATTAATAGAGCCATTCCTGATTTCTTTTGATTATCTTTGTGTGATTTATCTTTTTCTATCATCTTATTTTCATCCTGTCTGTATCACTCTATTAGAATTGAATTCTTTGTAGATAGCATATAGTTGGGTCATGTTTTTAATCTATTTTGCTATTTTCTGTCTTTTACATATTTAGACTCTTTATATTTAATATCATCATTTATATGTAAGGGTGTAAGTCTACTATTTCATTGTTTTCTATTTGTTCTCTGTGTTTCTCTTTTCTTTTTCTGCCTTCCTGTTTGTTACTTGAATTTTTTTTAATTTAGTATTTTGATTTATCTATGGTATTTTGAATGTATTTCTTTGTATAGCTTTTTAAGTGATTGCTCTAGGTATTACACACACATGCCACACACACTCACACAATCATAGTCTACTAGTCTCATTTTAACTGTCCATGTGAAGTGTGGAAACCTTTATGTAATCCTCCCTTTATGACTCTTTACCCTCCCCTATTTATAATTTTAAATATTTTGCCTACATGTAGTTAGAACCATGTCACACAGTGTTATAATTTTTATTTCAATCATCAGACAGAATTTAGAAGGCTCAAAGGAGAAGAAAAGTCTATTTGTCCACATTTTTGCTTACTGTGTTGTTCTTCCTGATGTTTTGATTTCTCTTTTAAAAAGTCATTTTCTTTGTTTAGGGAAATTTTGTTAGCCATTATTTGAAGGTAGGTGGTCTGGCAATAACTTCTTTCAGTTTTCTTTCATCTGAAAATATGTTGAGTTTTCCTAATTCCTGAAGGACATTTTCACAGATAAGAATTCTAGATTGACAGTCATTTTCTTTCTGCATTTAAAACATGTTGTGCCACTTCCTCTGGCCTCTATGGCTTTTGATGAGAAATATGCTATCATTCAAATTATTTTTCCATTATAGGCAAGATGTCATTTTTCTCTGACTGTTTTCAAGATTTTTTTTTGGTCTTCAGTTTTGGAAGTTCTGATATGTTATTGTAGTCAGCTCAGATTGCCATCACACAATATCATAGACTGAGGTGGCTTGAACAATAGAAATTTATTTTCTCACTGTCTGTAGGCTACAAGTCTGAGATCAGGGTGCCGGGTGGTCAAATTCTGGTTGGGGCTCTCTTTCTGGCTTACAGATGAGAGAGTTCTCTCTCTTCCTCTTCCTATAAGGCTACTAATCCTATCAAATTAAGACCCTACCCTTATGACCTCATTTAATCCTAATTGCCTCCTAAAAGCCCTATCTCCAAGTACAGTTACGTTGGGAGTTAGGGCTTCAACATATGAATTTTAGGGGTGCACAATTCAGTCCATAGCATGTGCCATCATGTGGATTTAAACATTTTATTTAACCTGCTTGCACTTTACTAATCTTCTTGAGTCATTTAGTTTGATGTCTCTTACCACAGTTGGGGAGTTTTAAGTTATTACTTCTTTAAGTACTTTTCAGCCATGCCTCCTTTGTCCTCTTCCTCTTGGACTTCATTACAGAAATGTTACACCTTTTGCTATAGTCCACAGACCCTGTGGCTCCATTCACCTTCTTCTCTTTTCTTGCTGCTGTTTAGATTGGGTAATGTCTATCTTCCAATTAATTGATTTTTCTCCCCCTCTGTGTCCTCCATTCTGCTGTTGTGCCCATTCACTGCGATTTTTATTTTGGTTATTGTAGTTTATCAGTTATTCTGTTTTTTTTTCCCATTCTTAAAATGTCATTTTTGTTCTTATTTATATTTTCTTTTTAGTTGCAGAGACTTTTATTTCATTGCTGAGACTATACTCCTTGAAGCACTTTTTTTGTTTGTTTGTTTGTTTGTGACAGAGTCTAGCTCTGTCACCCAGGCTGGAGTGCAGTGGTGCGATTTTGGCTCACTGCAACCTCTACCTCCCGGGTTCAAGTGATTCTCCTGCCTCAGCCTCCCAAGTAGCTGGAATTACAGGCACATGCCACCATGCCAGGCTAATTTTTGTATTTTTAGTAGAGACAGGGTTTCACCAGGTTGCCCAGGCTGGTCTTGAACTCCTGACCTCAAGTGATCTGCCTGCCTTGGCCCCCGCAAAGTGCTGGGATTACAGGCATGAGCCACTGCCCCTGGCCTGAAGTGCTTTTAAAATGACTGTTTTAGGGCCAGGGGCAGTGGCTTATGCCTGTAATCGCAGCACTTTGGGAGGCTGAGGTGGGCAGATCACCTGAGGTCAGGAGTTCGAGACAAGCCTGGCTAACCTGGTGAAACCCTGTCTCTACTAAAAATACAAAATTAGCTGGGCATGGTGGTGCGTCCCTGTAATCCTAGCTACTCGGGAGGCTGAGGCAGGAGAATTGCTTGAATCCGGGAGGCAGAGGTTGCAGTGAGCCGAGATTGCACCATTGCACTCCAGCCTGGGTGACAAGAGCAAAACTCTGTTTCAAAAAAAAAAAAAAAAAAAAAAGTATGTAATTCTAACATTTCCATCATTTTACTATTGGCATCTATTGATTGTCTCTTTTTATTCATTTTGAGATCATCTCAGTTCTTGCTATGATGTGTTTCCATTGAAACCTGGACACTTTGGTTATTATTTTGAGACTCTGGGTCTTATTTAAACTTTCTGTTTTACTTGGCTTTGTCTGACACTTCTCTGTCGGGGAAAGGTGGTTGGGGGAACCACCTCCTTACTATTTCATTCAGGTAAAAGTCTAGGTTCTCTACTTGGCCAATATTGACACATGAGGGTGGGGCTTGTTACTGTTGGGCAGAGTTTGGAGGTCTGGCTTCCTATGAGGCCTCCATTGATACCTCCCTATCTAAGAGTGAAAGAAATGCCTTGTTACTATTCCCCATGTGGCCTCCATTGATACTGTGATGATAATGGTGGAATTGCCTCATTATGTTGGGTGCTGGCAAAAGTCCTGGCTCTCTACTAGGACTTCATTGACATAACCCCGAGGGGATGGGGAGTGGTGATTTGTTTCTGCTGAATAGAAATAAAAATCCAGGCTCCCCATGTGGTCTCAATTGACACCATGGAGGTGGAGGGTTTTGTTGTTACATGGCAGAGATGAAAGTCCTGGCTCCTGGCTTGGCCTTATCTGATACCACTCAGGCTGGCAAGTTGAGACCCCATTATAGCCTAACAAGTGTGAGGGTCTATGTTCCTCAGTTGTTCTTCACTGGACTGGGTAGATATGGGACCACACTCTTTCTGTGATGTTTGGCTGGAGTATGGAAATTGCTTTGTGAAAGTTTTTTGTCTTCCTGGTTCTTTGACTAGAGATAGCAGGCCTTCTATGGGGCTTTTTGTCACATTACCAATTTATTCAATACTTAGTCTGAGATATGCGATACAAAACAAAAACACAGAAAACTTATTGCTGTGTCATTCTTTAGATCTCAAGGTCCTGAATTAGTATACATTCTCCTATCATTTCTTATGGTTGTTTTATATATAGTATAAAAACAACCATATACATAATAAAAATACACATAATAAAATATTTAAAAAATCTTATGTTTGTTTTATATATAGTATCTAGAGTTTTTAGTTGTACTTAATAGAAGGAATAGAAACAAGCATGTATACTCTATTCTCCCTGAAACAGAAGTCTGTGCACTTGTTTCAAAAACACCAAAGCATTTGATAAGTGTATGAGAAATGATGGTCAATTACAGTATAGGCTCATTTTGGAAATACGAAGGTTCCCAGGGAGCTGTCCAGGGTGCTGGACTCTCCTTAAAGCTCTCAGACTCAGTGCATGAGAATTTTCCATTTCTCTGTCTTCTAATTTCTTCTTCTGTTTAACCTTT